>NC_000012.12:76702552-76854067 GCF_000001405.40 Homo sapiens | reverse complement strand
AGTATTTTTCTTTATATAGTACATTTTGCAATATTTTTCTTTAGTATCTTTAGACATATTTAAAACTTGGAGATTCATACAGTCCCTGAGGATCCTAATTAACTACATGGAATTCAAAAATTCTTAAAAAATTTATTATCTTTATTTAAAAAAAAATTACACACACACACACATGCATACACACAGGATTGGAAATTTTTTTTTTTTTTTAGAATACTAACACCATCTTTTATTTTTCCAAATTCCTACAGTCTTATGCCACTTGACTCCTAGTTAACCAGGATATAAATGTATAATCTTTTCATATCATAGGTACCACTATCATTTCATCAATTTCCTGAAGTAAATTGAGTGAAATCATAAGCACACACTTAAGAGTCAGTATTTATTCTGATTAATATTTTACAAAATTTTGACATTTAATTTATGTAAGGAGGGCTAATTTATTAAACACTTTACAGGTTTTTCTTTCCACAGAATAACACGGTAAGTAGCAAAATAATACTTGGCACAGTTATAAATAAAGAAAATATAAAATAAAAACATCCATAGCTTAAGTACAATGATGCTGTTTTACGCCCATTAATATCAAATAAATTCCTGGAAACAACAAAAATATGAATGAAAAAAAACTCCAAGGAAGTAATTCATGTTCAGTGCTGAGAATTAAGTTCCTATTTGCTAAAAGTATCCAATTAAGTTGATAAGAACTATTCCCAAAGGTTCACCATCATACACAACTTTAGAACTGGGTTTATAGTTGGTTCCACACACAGGACCTACAAAATAATTAAACAGATGGTATACTGCTGCATAGCTGGCTCCTGACCATCTGACCATTTCTGAGTTATAGATTTCACAGGTACTACAAGATGGTTACTACAAAAGCATTCACATTGCTAGTATTTTCCATGTAATTACACATCTAGAGGTTTGTCTTTTTAACTGAATGACATCTCTTTTGCACTGAAAATATTGTACCACAAACAAAGAAGATGGTAACAACATTCTTAGCCAAACTCTGAAAAAACCACCATAGTCTTTAACTGTTGATAAAAATGTATTCGATAAAAATGCAACTGAGTCTTCATGTGAAGTGGCTCAAAATACAAAAAATTAAAACAAATTCTAGCATTTTATAAATAACTTTGAATTTAAAAATTATCTAAAATTTCCCCCAATTAGTAGTCAAAACTAGCTGACATTTGTAAAGTTAACCAATTTTTACATTCTATGACAAAATGGCACAATGCTATTGCCACCCCACACCCATCTCTTCCCTTTTCAAAAATAAAGTACATATGCCAATTTTCTAATATTAAAACACATACACTAAGGGTAATCTTTTTTTGATGTGTGACTTATGGTCAAATAAGCTACTATATAAAAATGGTACTTGGAAATACTGAACATCAACTATATACATTTCACTGCTCCTCTTACTAAGGCAAGGGGCGGGTATACCACTAGATTGCTTTAATACCTGTAATCTGCATTTTACAGGGAAGACTAGTTTTACCAAGCATCAGACATGCAGTGAACTTGCAGGGTATAATGCCTATTAACAGCAATTTTGAACATCACTAGAAGCTCATTAGTTATCTCCCTTTTCTTTTTGGTTGGACAAAATGAAATGAGCAGCTTTAAAAACACTAACACAGACACAAAGAGAAAACTATTTGATAAATTATTTATATACAGATACACATTCTTTACATTGGTCTAGGATCTGTCATCAGTCTGACCACCATTCCCCCACATCTCCCACCCCATTCCCTCTCACAGATTTCCCACAGGTTGCTCGAACCACAGTTTGCTACAGCACTTAAGATGAATAAACCAAATCTCACCCTGTAAACAATATTTATGGAAGCAGTGACTAGTAGTCCACCATGAAGGTATGAAAATGCTGTGACAAAAATTGATCAGTGCATCACATTTAACAAAAAGAAAATTTTTTCTAAAACTGTTTCAGAACTTACTCAATATTGGATAAACTGAAATACTCTTGGGGATGAAATTCTACTTTCTGATAGGTCATTTTATTGAAACCAGAATATACTGTCAGCTTTTCTTTTATTCACATGTGCTATGTACTTAGATCATGCTCCATCTTTAGTTAAATGCCATTATTTTGTCTACAATTATTTTGCAGCTGAGAATTTAAAAGGAAGTATATCCATGTATCACTATTACTGAGAATTTTGCATTATTTGTTCTGCCTTTTCTTGAAAATACCACCTTAACCCTTAAAAATGGAACTGTTTTTGAACATCAAATTAAATTCTAATTTATGCTTCACTGGATAGTATCTGCTAGTATACATTCTATGTGGTGTGTCATGCAATTAGCAGGGCTTTTAAATTTGAACAAAAAAACATGACTTACTATACTCATGCAAGTGCTTCATTATCAGACCGTAAAACCTCAGAGTAAGGTTACTACAAATTATTTCACTGAACTAGAAATATATCAGCATTGCAACAGCTGATAGAAACAAAACATTGTTAGCACATTTTATTGTGAACATTATTTTCTCCTGCCTTTGAAGACAACATCACAGTAGATCCCAATCACATGATTTTCATCACAGTATTTATGTGTACATTCTGAAATGTACATAATAACTAGTCAATCAACTTAAAACAATGCTCCTGGAATTAGATGCAATACTCGTACTAGACTGCATCATAACATTTAGCCAAATAACATAAATTTAGTTTTAGTTAAAACTGAACATTTCTGATCAGTACACCATGTCTGTCAATAGAATAAGTTTACCCTTTTTTTGTGAAAAATACTGTGAGAACAAAACCCAAAAGTTGAGTATGTTGTGAATTTCCACATTAAGAACCATTAAAATTATTTTTTATCATCTTTACTCTTCCCAGAAATGGCAGTGTGTTCTGTCCATGTTTACTTTTGTTAATAAAAGTGTTGAAAAAAAGACTGTAAAATTCACCATTAGCCCTACACATAGCATGCTCTTGTTCAAAGGATGTGGATTCGAGTGTGAGAAAGACACGGACAGACACAATTTTCAGGCACCACTCAGCAATATGCTTCATAGGATAAGATGTCGCTACACCAGCTGGTACCCAGATCCTGATATTTGGTCATATTCTATTGTATACTGCCTGGTCCAGTCCACGATAACAGGACGAAAGAGGCCACAGCATCGAAATTCAAAGAAGTCTATAATATTTCTTACACATCCATGGCTAAAAACAGCACCCCAAAAAGAAAACACGTCAGTCAGTACAAATGATTTAATACATGAATTCAATATAATTTTCGTGTTAAATATATTTTTTTCTAAACTTAAAAACTCAGGTTACTTGCAAGAAGGAACCAATTCATAACTCTATAAAATATATATGCCTTCATGTTTCTCCACTGCTCTGCCAACAATGATTTTTTCTTTTGCCAATTTAAAGACTTACACAATTATATTTTAAATTTATTCAAATGTGCATATACTTTCTGTGTTATATGCATTTTTATTTTTATTTTTAGAGATGAGGTCTTAACTATGTTGCCCGGCCTGGCCTCGAACTCTGGGCTCAAGCAATCCTCTCACCTCAGCCTCCCAAGTAGCTAGGACTACAGACATGCACCAACATGCCTGGCTCCATATGTAATTTTTGATAAAAACCTTTAATTAGTGGCTCTTTGGCAGGAGACAAACTATCTCTAAAACAGAAAAAAAGTAAAAGACAAAATAATTATAAATAGCATGAATCTGGCAGTGAACCTAAGGATAACAACTTAAAAAAGAAATGTCAAGGATAAGTTCATGAAATTTTAGTACTCCAGTAACACCTTTAGAAAAGCAGTCAGTTTTGGCCAGGTGCGCACCAGTGGTTCACGTCGGTAAGTAATCCTAGCACTTTGGGAGGCCGAGGCGGGTGGATCATGAGGTCAGGAGTTCAGGACCAGCCTGGCCAAGATGGTGAAACCCCATCTCTACTAAAAATACAAAAACTAGCTGGGCGTGGTGCATGCCTGTAATCCCAGCTACTCAGGAGGCTGAGGCAGAGAAGTGCTTAAACCCAGGAGGTGGAGGTAGCAGTGAGCCGAGATCATGCCACTGCACTCCAGCCTGGGTGACAGAGCAAGACTCTGTCTAAAAAAAAGAAAAGAAAAGCAGTCAGTTTTGTGCCTTATATAATTTTTGTACCTATGGGAGAATTCTCAAAACTACCCAACTAACTCTGTTTTTATTTAAAGGTCTGCTTGCTTTCCAGAAGTATGCCATAATTGACAGCACCACAAAAGCTGAAGAGTTGGTAATAACTTCAGTAAAACTCAAAGTTTTAAATATTTCATATACTTAGGACCCTACTATTTCTAAGCACCAGACTGAATACAAATTTAAAATTAAAAAGAAAAAAATATAAGGAGATATCACAACTTTATTATATACAGTTAATGTGATGAATTCTGTTTTGTTGTTATTATGGTGAACTGATGCTATTTCTACAGAAATCTTAAAAAGGTTTAAAAGCTATTTTACATATCACTAAGTAAAAGAGTCTGGTTAGTAAGAAAATTTTTATGACCAGGTAAAATATTAAATTTATAAATATGTACATACTTGAATGGGCTTTCAATAGACGTTGTTGTGACTTTAAAGTGCTTGTATCTCCTGGCATTCATTCTTTCATTTGTAGTAATACCTAAACATGATATCTAAGAGGAAAGAAAAAGCAAACCATTATTCTTGTTTTTTTTTTTTTTTTTTGAGACAGGACCTTGCCCTGTCACCCAGGCTAAAATGCAATGGCGAATTCTCAGCTCCCTCTTGGGTGGGCTCAAGTGATTCCACCCCCGCCACCTCCCCCCACCCCAAAACCCCCACCCCACCAGCAGCTGGGATTACAGGCGCATGCACCATGCCCGGCTAATTTTCTTTTTTTTGTTGGGTTTTTTTTTTTTTTTTTTTTTTTAGAGATAGGGTTTAACCATGTTGCCCAGGCTGATCTCAAACTCCTGGGCTCAAGTGATCCGCCCACCTCGGCTTCCAAGTGCTGGGATTACAGGTGTGAGCCACCATGCCAGGCTGCACAAACCATTATTCTTTCTAAATACTTAATATAAAAAAATTAATTTGAAGAAAACTAGGATAAAGATAAAAACAATGAAGTCTGTTTTTGGTTTTCCATCAGGAGATCATCAGAACTAGTTTACGTGGTATCATTTGACTGTGAAAAGTAGCCAGTTAAATGTGGAAAATATTTAAAGACAGGTTACTTGACACTGTGCATGGACAGGCGCTATTCCTGCACAGACAACCTCCCTATCAGCCTCTCTGAGAATGAGCTTTTAAAAATTAAAAAAAGGCTTTTGAATAAATATTAGTATTTGTGAATAAAAATACCATTAAAAACACAAAATTAATGTCATCATCAATCTGAGCTCACACATACTCAACTGGATGTATTTAAGTCAGGAATAACAGATTAAAATTTCTGTTGAGATAAGTACTAAAATTCAAAAGTTCACAATATGAGAAGAGGAAGGGGCAAAAGAGTGAGGTAGAAAGGAAAACTAAATTGAAAAATAAAATGAATATTTGAAGAGCAGGAGTGGTTAGGAAGAGAATATATTATTATCTTTTATGCAAGGATGGAAGAGTTTTCACTTAGTGCACTAAAAAGAATGCCTTTGCACATACCTGGTACATCTGACACATGAGTAATACAGCCACCCACATGAAGTGGAAAACACTGTTCAGGAACATCCAAAACATCCAAGGTGAACACGTGGCAATCTGAGTAATGTATGTCCAAAATCCATCCTTGGTGTAAGTGGTCTCACAGTGGAGTCCCCAGTCTAAAGCCAGAACAGAAGTACTCGTATTTACTCAATAATCATCCAAGCACCTCATATAGGCATTTGTGCTGGCACCATTTAGAAAACATAGTCAAACAGTCTAGATTTAACTGATGACATTCAATAGCAAATGTCTTTATACTCTTAAATAACCCTATTATATCTCAGTGAAAAAACACAGAAATGGAAAAGGAGCAGCCAATCTTAAAAAAAAATCACTGTATCTTCAGAATTAACAATTTTATTTGATTGGTATTGCATCACATAATACTTAGAAAAACATTTTCTTTACACAAAGATGAGAGGATATATGAAAGAGATTTTTTTGAAAGAGGGCATATAACATAATAGGATGGTGACATGAGCTTTTTTTTCCAGACAAGGTCTCGCTCTGTCACCCAGGCTGGAGTGCAGTGGCTCAATCAAGGCTCACTGCAACCTCGACCTCCTGGACCCAAGCAATCCTCCCACCTCAGCCACCTGAGTAGCTGGGACTACAGGCATGCGCTACCACACCGGGCTAATTTTTGTATTTTTTGTAGAGATGGGGTCTCTCTTCCTACGTTGCCCAGGCTGGTCTCAAACTCCTGGCCTCAACTGGCCCACCTGCCTCTGCCTCCCAAAGTTTTGGGATTATAGGCAATGAGCCACCATGCCCAGCCAAGGTAGGCCTTTCCTAATACAAAATCTCCTGCTGTAGGAGAGTTGCTATAAAATACTGCTGTTGTTGGCAAGAAAGTATTCTCCTCAGGTGTGCTGGGCCAGAAATTAGGTCAAGTTCTTTGACCAAATCTTCCTATTAATCTTTAACTGAGGTGGTAACCTCCTTTGGTTCATTAGGGCAATAACACTGATTATTTTTACTATCTGTGGGGCAGGAAGACTAGAAAATCATCCTTCCAAGACTTGTATTTAAACGAGGATCTAATACATCTTTATGCCAAGCACCACCAAGCCCTGAGGCATCGTAAGTGACGTATCCACTTAAACTCTTTCCAGACTGCATTCTCAATGCAACAAAAATCTATCATTTCCTTTAAGGTATAAAACCCACATGATGGAATAACAACTTATTCTTAAAAAGGTAACTTCTGATATTTACTAATATTCTCTAATAGGCAATAATTATACCTTACTTTTCAAAATATTTCAAATTCTCTGCAAATTTAATTTTAAGTATATTTTCCCAACTGCTTGGTAAGAAACAGAACTAAGACAATCACTTAATCTATAAGCTACTATAGTAAAGCAAGCACATGATGTGGAAAATGTTGATGTATTTCACCCAGAAGCTTCTCAAAGCCTATTAAACCAATATGTTTTTCAGAGGACACAAGTATTAAAAGGTGGTTAACTGCTAACTGTTTGCTTACACTGTATATTGGACATAATTGATAGAGCTGTATCTTTTTTCCCTTTTGTGCTTCATAAGGTGTCCAAACCATAATTTTAGTTAAACGACCTTTGTCATTATAGTAATTTGTTAGTGTGGTAAGTATAATCTAAGTATGCAGAAATTTGTTTTAAAAAGACCGAAAACTAATTGTACTCACAAGATATACAACCATAAATCATCCAGCAGATCATAAAAAGCAAGAAGAATAGGTAGCCCATAAAATATCTATGGTTGCCTGCACCTGAAGAACGACACAGAAGCAAGGTTTTTCAGCTAAGAAAAAAACAACGGGTAATGCACCTTTGAGGGGTATGCCATGAAAGGTGTGCTACAGTTTTGATGATAATCACACATACATTCATTATTTTATAAAGTGGTTTTCAGGAAAAATGTTTTAATAAAAATCTTAAATAAGAATGCTTGCAATTACACACAAAGATATAATGATGACAATGGTGTTCAAGTCCCAAAGAACTAAATAAATCACAATTCTGACCTCTAATCCTATTCTTTGTGAGGTTTAAAATAGCCCTATTTTATCTTTACTTTTATAAACTTTACAATCCAAAGGTTTCTCTTCAACAGAGGTAAACAATCTTTGTAATGTTTCCTGTCACCTCATAAAATCTCCGGGGCATGTCTCAAACCATGTAGTTTCTCTCCTTAGACTATACCATTCTTGAACACTAATGTGTGTACTGTTCTTATCTGTCATTCCTCTCTACCTCTGCACATAATATCATTTCAAATATTACCGCCTTCATCTCTCTAGTTTAACTAGAAAAAAAAAATTTTGCCTCCTTATCAAGAGTAGGCACCAGATAGAACTGACAGAGAAAAGGTATCAGCCACTAATTTTGTAATTTTTTTCCCTCCCTCTCTCAACTGAGTTGCTGTGTTGTCAACCAGAAGATAACTGAGAAAATGAAGCGTGGAGTAATAAACTTTCTATTGCCTACTTTAATATTATACTTTATTCATTACCTAAAGTAACTTAAATGAATGATACAGAAGAAATTACTAATACAACTTACCTACACAGTTACCCACCCATGGGCAATGATGATCAAATTTTGCTATACAGCGGTTGCACACACCACAATGTTTGGACCTCACCGGTTTTCGTATCTGTTAATAGGCATGTTAAAGGATTATGAAAGGCATTATACTAAGAGAGAAAAGCTGACTATTTATTTTCTCAAAATATAATTATAAAAAAATAAAACTATATTTTTTAAACAAGATTATATCAAGGTTTCCAAATGAATGAAACCAAAAGTCACTATTGTTTAATAAAATTTCAACTGCAAAAACAAAGAATAAAAGAATGAGGCTACTCTAGAAAATATGCTCTTAAGAATGGAACTGAACCATCAATTTACAAAAGCTAAGAATTACCAATTTGATTTGATGAATGATGCTATGTTTAATTCACATCCCTCAAATTTCTGAGTAATAAAAACATATCAATCTCCAGTCTTCTAAATGATGTTCCATTATGATTAATGGTCATGATATTGGTGTTTTTCAATAAAATAAAATTATTCCTTACTAGGAAGGTCAGGCTAAAAGTGAATTTAAAAAGCTCTTAAAATTCAAAATCATCAATAAAATATTTGTCTTCCCCAAATTAACAAATCCAGCAAAAACCCATATGTACACATCTATTTCTCTTCAGTAAAGTGCCTTCTGAGATCTCAGATTAAGGTACAGCATTTCTCCTGCTGAAATGACCATATTTAAGAATGCAGAACATGCTTAAGAAGTCACTATTTCTTGCAAAAAAAAAAACCCCATATAATTCATTATTCAGCTATTGACAGGCAATAAAGAATCCATGCTTATGATGTCTGTTTTTCAAGCATTTTGAAATGGTTTTTAAAACCTACATTACTCTAAATCAGCCAAGTGAATACAAGAACTCATTGGTGATCTTCAAAGGGCTGGCAGTCCTAATGCTAGACATATGATAAAAGAGCTGCAGTTATTAACTCTTGCCAGAAAAAAATTTATAAATATACTTCAGCGTTTCAACAAAAGCACTGCCATTTCTCCATTAGTTTGCATAAAGTTACACACTATTTTGAGGTACCAAGGAAAAGGCACAGTGAATACACAGTTCTTACATCTACCAAAATTATCTGTGGAATAAAGAAAAGGGTAAGTTATTCTTCACCACAGTTGTTAGACTAAATCTACTTAGGAGAAGGCAGCAGGATATTCAAACAACTTCTATCCCCACTTCCAACCCTCAGCTGCAACACTGTCAAAAATCTGAAAAACAGACTAACTGGTTAAGGTGTGACTTGGTCTCAAGGTTCCTTGGATCACTTACAAAGTAATCCTTTCTTTTTTCTTTTTTTGAGACAGGGTTTCACTCTGTGGCCCAGGCTGGAGTGCAGGGGTGCAATCAACAAAGTAATTCGTTTTTAAGAAAGCTCTGATCTACAAGCCTTAGGGACTTGTCTACTTACCAAAGTGAAGCATACCCATATAATGACAACTACCTCTGCTGATCTGCAAGATTTTATAATAGGAAATCTTCTTTACAACAAGAAGTATGTGGCTTATAAATAATATATAATAAAACATTTATGCTATGATGACAAAATTAGTCTTATTCTTGCCATCAAATATGTATTTGACAATGAAACTGCTATCTGTATTGAATGACTATATAATTTGTTTGCCATATGGCAAGTACATCAGCACTGCATACTTTGTGGAACAGTATATTTCCACAGAACAGCAGTGTATTAAAACATTCTAAATATTAAGAAAAAGAATATCAATTTTGTAAATTACCCATTGTAAAGCACAGAAACAAAAACTGTTTTCAGAATGCCGGAATATATAAAAGAATCTGGTCGGTATCCTAAAGTTGCTACCAAACATGAAGCTGTATATATTTTGAATATTCAAAATCATAACTGGTCAAAGAATATTAAGTGTAATAAAGAATTTTCAGAATTAGAACTGTTTCAAAACTTCATTCCATAATCCTAAATGAAGTCAATGACTTTATTATTAATCAGATGCTAAGACATGAGCTCACTTGCAGTGTATAAGTATAAAAGAGCATTTAGTTTTATGTATGACTTTGGAATATTTCAATTTCCATGTAGAAAAACATAATTTAAGCACTGTGGCAGTATATATATTTTTCACAAATACTAATTATAAAAACTAAGTGAAAAATAATTTAAACATAAGAGTATTATCCTACAGAAAATTAATGTCTATAATAATAAACAATCTCAATAGTGCTATACCTGACTCTATTAATAAATACTAGTAATTTCATATATATCTTTACCTATGACCTGGATGAGGATGACCACTTTAAAAATCTATGATAAAACAGTGTTCAAAGTTACATAAACATTCTGATACAAAACAAAACAAAAAAAACCACCTACTCAAATTGAACTTGTTTAGAGGCCATGTTGTCTTAACAGTTATCTAATGGATTTTCCCATGTGGCTTTTAAATACAAGTATAAATTTTCTTAAAATGTAGTAAAGAAAACAATCTATTAGGGAATCATTATAAATCTTTGATCTGAAATACTTTATTACTTAGTTTTTAATTTATTAACATTTTAAGCGAGAAAAGAGAAAGAGAATGAATACAAATAAACGGCACCTCCGAATCAAAAGTACAGTCAAGGCCTACCATCGAGGAATAAGCGCCTTGGGAAGCAGACATCCTTTAACCATCTTTCCTCTTATACCAAGAAGCAGGGAATGTGTTCATTGAAAATAATTATTCCTTTTCCCCACACCCCATACCCGCTATGCTATGCCACTGTCAGGAGGAAGAGAAGGGAGGGAAGAACAAAGAAGAAAATACTACCAAACAGGTACTGCAGAATATACTGAGGTCCAGACTTCCTGTCTCTGCAAGTTCAACTATTGTCTGTGAATTAAAAAAATAATATTTAATTCAAAACTGAACAATGCTCACCAACTCTTTTGCCACCACTATGAATCAATAAACATGATTTTCATCTTTAATTTACTGATGTTTTGAGTTCAAAAAGAGAAATAAAATCTTTTATTTACTGCTATTTCATTGCAAGAAGAATACAGGGTAGCAATCTCTATGCTGCCCAGAAAAAAGGGGATTAGACCATAAGAATCTGCCATTGTCTTAGTCAATTGTGGACTGGAATAACTTATCAAAATTTGTCCTGTTTTTAGAGACTAAATAAAACAGCTCTTAAAATAATCTAAAATGCTTCTAGTCCAGTTCTCTAAATACACAACATTGTTAGATTATAATATTGGTTTCCTAATTACCTGCATTATAAGAAAGGGATGCCCTGGATGGTATATACAAATATTTTAGCTACTGGGATGGTGTACCTGCACTATCAACCAATTTATTAACCTTCTAGTTTACATAGTCATTCAGCAAACATCTACTGAATGCAAATTATTTCCTGGAGATTTACAGAGATGTTTAAGACACCGTATTCACCCCTCAAAGCAATCACAGCAGTCTTGTAAGGGAGAGAAACACGAAATTATAAAATGTCATGGAAGTGTTATGGACAGGCATCACAAGAGCACCAAGGATGAGCACCAAATAAAAGATACATAATCTCAATTTAGCTTAAAACTTCTTTACATTCTAAACGATAGTTAATTCCTCTGTCCTCTAATGTCTGCTGTAAATACTGATAATCTGGCAGTTAAATACAAGTGACTTAGTTGGTATTTTGCTACCTTTTTCTTTTGCTCTTCTGTTGCTTTAATAATCCCTGGATCTGATTTCCAAGATTTTCCAAAATTGTAGAAAAGTGCAACACTATTGGCAAGGAATGGAAGATGGATAAATAAAAAGTTGAGATGTGCCTAAGGTTAAGGAATCTAAAGAAGCAATGATAAATGAATTACTATTATATATAAACTTATAATCTATAAAATTTTACAAAACACCTACCAGTCAAAAAAATACAAACTGTTCTGCATTATGTTTATAACTACATGTAAAAATAATGTGACTTCTTTATAAATTTTAAATCATGCAGACTTATCTGACACTTTAAAAGTTAGTGAATATATTAAAAAGTCAATGAAAATTTTTAAATGACTAATTTTTTGACAAAAATGAAGAGATTTCTCATGTTCAAAGTTATTAACATATACTTTATGTATATGCACTGCAATCTTTAGGCATCTACCAAATATTACAGATATCATACTCGTATATTTAAAAGATTGCTTTTAACTATAGGAAAGTCAAAAAAGAAAAATTCTCACTTTTGCCTTTTTTTGAACACACTGAAATTGATTTCAGAAAAAATATAAGCTTGCTTAAAACAAATAGTTTATATGTTCACATTTTTTCTATCTCATAAAAACGTAAGAAATATACTAGGCATTTATAAACACAAGTAAATTATCAAAAAACAATTTAAATAACACTATAAAAAATACAGCAATGTCGCTAGAGCAATACATTTCTGAGACACAAAACACCAGGTATACTCAAATACCATTTGTAAGATTGTATGTAGATACAAGTATTATACAAGAATTTCATAAGACTTTTTGACATTATCATGTGTACCCACTGTTTACATTTCTCATGAAGCACAGATAGAAAAAGAACAGCTTCTTGAATGAAATCATTCTATATTTGTTTGGAAAATACCAGAACACTCAATAGCCACTTGACATACAGGAGAAACAAAAGACGGAAGAAAAGATTAGTTATTATCACCTGGCATATTCAAAAGTGACTTATCTTTTCCTTTTTTCTCCAATCCTCTCTTTTCCCCCAACTTTTTCCAATCTTATTCCACAAAATATACCGGTATAGCCAGCAGAGAGTAAATAAGAAGTCAAACTTTCAGCTGTTTATTCTGGAGAATAAAGTGTGCAGAATGCTGAGGCTTGACATTACTCAGGGGCAGCACTTTTATTTATCACAAGTTTTGAAAAGGTGCCAACGTAACATGTAAATAAATAAGTCAAACTCTCAGGACCTGGATTAAATTTGCAGGGGGTCAGCTCAATATATGACTACATATTTGAAAGGTATATTAAGGAATTAAATACTGAATGAACTTTAAAAATGTCTTTCCTTGCTCTTTAATGATAAAGAAATTAGGTATCTTCAAATGGTAGACTGAATTTAGCTTTAGCAATAGATTAGACGAGCTAATTTTAAAATTTTAACTGAAATAGGCTGGACGCAGTGGCTTACACCTGTAATCCCAGCACTTTGGGAGGCCGAGGGGGGTGGATCACCTGAGGTCAGGAATTCGAGACCAGCCTGGCCAACATGGCAAAACCCTGTCTCTACTAAAAATACAAAAATTAGCCAGGCATGGTGGTACACACCTGTAATCCCAGCTACTGAGGGGGCTGAGGCAGGAGAATTGCTTGAACCTGGGAGGCGGAGTTTCCAGTGAGCCAAGATCACGTCATGCACTCCAGCCTGGACAACAGAGTGAGACTCAGTCTCGGAAAAAAAAAAAAAAAAAATTAATGGAAATAGGCACACTCTATGAATATATGGCTGTTTTCAGTATTAATTTTATTATTAGAGAAAATGAGAAAGCACTAAAAAAAGCATAAAGACAGAAACAAGAACTCTACAACCCAGAATTAAACTTCTTTTAATTTTGGTATTCTGCATTTTTAATTATGACTGGTATCATAATGTATCTAATTATTAACAAAATAATATATTAATCACCAACTATGTGCCATTTAAGCAGCACAAGAACCCTATGATAAATCCTGCTATTATCCCCACTTTACAGATGATACGACTGAAGCAGAAGCTACACTGTCCAAGATTACAGAGTGAGTTAGAGGTAGAGCAAGTATTAAAACTCAGACTCATATGACCTATGCTATTCGGCCTCGCCAAAGTGCTCAACACAATTTCCTATGCCAATAAATATTATGGAAACAATATATTTAGGTATAAACATTTTTAAGGCTTGAGATATAAATATACACAGACACTTTTATACTATTTTCCAGCAAGATATACCAGTTTATAACCCCACTAACAACACGACTGATCAGTACATTTGCATTAGCAGTAATGAAAAAACGCTGCCAATTTAAGAGGCAAATACCTGCTATTTTATCGTTTTAATTTACATTTTTGCTTTTATGTTTAAACAGCCCCCGAATTAAAGACAAAACAAGTATTTACCATCAATGTTTTCACTTAAATGTTTATAGAATCATTTTTTACATTTAATTCTTTAATCTAGTTGGATGTTTTCTGGATGTCTGCTATGAAATGCAGCTCTCATTTTATTTTTAAACAAATTTATCTAGGCTTTCTTTCAAAAATAGAAATTCATACACTAAATTTATTTACCATAATACTCAGCAAAATGAATTAAAAACAGTAAATCAAACAAACCAAGTGCCTCTCAAAATACTGGCAACAACTTCAGAAAGGAGACAGACCACATGTATCATAAAGTTCAAAACTGAAGGCCAAAAAAGATGATGATTCTGGCGAGGCAGGCTGCCTGAGGTAGCTCCTAATCCTGCTCTACCTGTACTAGCAGTATGAAAAACTGTAGATGTGAATTCTCACCCATTTCACCCTGGCCCTTTGCTATGGACTAAATTGTGTTTCCTCACAATGCATATGTTGAATCCCTAACACCTACAATCTGACTGCATCTGGAGATGTGGTCTTTAGGAAGCAATTAAGCTTAAATTAAGTCATAAGGGTGGGAGCCTAATCCAATAGGACCGTGGCCTTCCTTATATAAAGTAGAATGAGAGATTTCTTCCTCTTTCTCCTCACCATGTGAGAACACAGCAAGAAAGTCATCATCTGCAAGCTACAAAGACTGCCCTCAGCAGAACTCAAACTTGCTGGCACCCTGATCTCAAACTACCAGCCTCCAGAACTGTGAGAAAACAAATTTCTGTTGTTAAACCACCTAGTCTCTGGTATATCATTATGGCAGCTTGAACTGACTAATACATACTCCACTCCTCAGTCCCACTCAATTGGAGAAAAATAATTGAAATGGTGAGTAGATAATTTGAACAAGTCAAGAAAATCCCTTCAGGAACATAAGTCCCTGAATACCACTGCATGGCTTCCACTAAGTATCAAGAAATACCAAGGCTTGTCATTAATAAGGTGACTTAACAAAATTGAGGGGATGGCTGGTGGGGGATAATTCTGACATCATTCTATCTCTAAGGCTGCGTAGAATAAAACCTCAGGAAAAACTTTCAGCAAGATCTTAAGACAGCTAAACCCAAGTTTCTCAGCAAGAATTTACAATTGAGCTCTCTTTTTCTTAGGCTACAGAAAAATGAATAGAAATTTAGCCAAACTGTAACACTGAAGGCAGACATACAACTTCAATATCCTTGTACCAAACAGGACAGGAAAAACTTCAAAGATTACTCTAAAATATATCAGAGAAAACATAAAAGTCTGAATATATTTGCCCAGGTCAATCACGAGCAAGATGAAAGATGAAAAGAAATGGCATAACAACTATGCTAGTGTACTTAAAAACAAAACAAAAATAATAAACCAGAAAAAATGTGCACAGCATTCACAAAGCAAATAACCCAGTATGGAAAGCAGCCGCAAATTTGGACAAAGACAAATTAAGAACAAAGGCAAATTAACCAAAGATGCTTCATAATTAAATTAAAATATAAATCCTATAAAAGCTTAAACATAAGATCATAAAACAATTAGAACCAGATGAAAAGCGTGATTCTAGAAAAAAAACAGACTGAGATCAAACAAAAACCATTATACAATATATGAACTAAAAATTTATAAAGATGAACACAAGGAGGATAAAAACACTGACAATCAGTAAATGAGGGAAAAAAGAAAACTCAAAACAATAATTAGAGACAAAAACTGGACATGGTGGCATGCACCTATAATTCCAGCTACTCAGGAGGCTAAAGCCAGAAGATCACTTAAGCCCAGCAGTTCAAGACCAGCCTGGCCAACATAGTGAGACCTCCATCTCAAAAAATAATAATAATGATAATAATAAAGAGTAGAGACAAAAGTATGAACACAGATGACAAAGATAATTCAACACATGGATAGTTTTATCCCAGAATTAATAAATACATCAAACAGAATTCAGAGATCCTAACAGAAAATTTCAGATAAAAGAAAACCTTCATTTTTATAAATTACATATAGTATACAAATATAACCTCCATTTTAAATACTGCATCCTGAAAAGACACACTGTATATTAAGAAAATCTGAGGGACAATGATTAACATCCTCTGAAACATACTGGTTGTTTTTTAATCTCAATGGTAACAAATGTGTTCTTAAGTAAAGAGTTTTTTAACAGAGACAAGGTCTCACTCTGTTGCCCAGGCCAGAGTGCAGTGGCATAATCATATCTTACTGCAGTCTTGAACTCCTAGGCTCAAAGGGTCCTACTGCCTCAACCTCCTGAGTAGCTGGGACTATAGGCACGCACCACCACACCCGGCTAATTTTTTTAGTTTTTGTAGACCCTGTCTCTACTAAAAATAGAAAATAGCCAGGTGTGGTGGCACATGCCTGTAATCCTAGCTACTTGAGAGTCTGAGGCACAAGAGCCACCTGAACCTGGGAGGCAGAGGTTGCCCTGAATCAAGATCACGCCACTGCACTCCAGCCTGGGAAACAGAGTAAAACTCTGTATCAAAAAAACACAAAAACCTGAATCATTTTAAATGTGTTGCTGAGCTGTTAGTAAGAAAACCCCATGGAGACCAGAGATGATAAATAAACAAAATCTAAAGGTAAACTGGTTCAGAAATGTAGTGTCCACTCTTCAGGATTTGCTTATTCCTATATGCTATTTGCAAGAGACATGTCGAAAATTCAAGGCCATAAATTATTTAAAGCAATACTAATTAAAATAAATAGTCATTGCTAATGCTTTTTACCATGAGTCACTACATATTGATACAAGGTTCAATTCATTAGAAAGAATTCTAAACTTACACATACTTAATAATGAAACTCCAAAATATGGACCACAAAGAGAACCTCCTAAATATAGCAACACGGTAGAAGATTTTACCATAGGTCGCTCAATAAATGATGCTGCAAACAGATAAAAATTTGGTAATGATACAGTGACTTGAGCAACCCAATTAAGAAGCTTAATCTTCTGTATGGAATGCAGCTGAGGTAGCATACAAAATGTTACTTTTTAAACTTAAATGTTTCTAATAGAAAATATCAATGAAAACTAAACAATTTAATAAGCTAAAGAAAAAACTAAACAAGCAGACAAAAGGAAACAGAACATACTGAAAGTGAAAATAGAAAGGATTAATAAAACCTAAAGTTGTTTCTTTGAAAAATCCAATAAAATAGATTAGAAAATAGCTCTAATTAATACCAGGAATGAGAGGGGGGCACAGCAGCTGAGTTTAAAAAAACAAGAGAGAATGTAGCACATTTTAAAAGAAAAGAAATGGACAAATCACTAAAATATATATATATATACAATTGAGTCAAATAAACTATATATTACAAAATTCTTTAACATAAAGCAAATTCCAGGTAAAATGATTTTACAAAATCTAATAAACATGCAGTTAATAATTTCAATTTAACCCAAACCCTTTCAAAGAACATAAAAAAAGAACAAGTCTCCACCCATTTTGAGGCTATCATGTTGATATCAAAACATAACAAAGACAATACAAAAAAATTATAAGACAATTTCATTCACAAATGTACACGCAAAACTAGTAACATATTTAATCCAGCAATGTAGAGAAAAATAAGACATTATGCCCATGTCTGTTTACTCCAGGCATGCATAAGTGGTTCAACATTAGAAAAATCTATTAATATATTATTTAATATTAAAAGCATAAAGAAAAAAACATACACAATTCACAAAAAGTTAAAAAAAAGGGGGTGTAGAGGGAGAGGTTATTTATAAAATCCAAGTAAACACTTTATAAAATCACACTCACTGGTAAAATACTAGCCCTTTAAAGTCAATCTTTTAAAGATGATACCCTTTAAAGTCAGGAACAAAATGAGGATGCTCATTCTGTGTCTATTCCACAGTGTACTGAGATCCTAGCTAATAAAATAGGATGACTAAAGGAGCTAAATGCTATAAAGAGTAGAAAGAAAAACAAAATTCAGTCTTTATACATATGATTACCCCATGTCATATATCCAAAATACCCCAAGTTATTAGAAATAATAAAAGGCTTTAGCAAGGTTGTTGTCAATAACTAATCAGCTACATTTCTATAACCCAGACACAAACAGAAATTTTAATTAAAAATAAAAAATTCATAATTTAAAAAAATTAAAATTCTTTTAAAAATAAATCTAACAAGAGATATAAACTTCTACATAAGAAATTATATGACTTCATTAAAAAACATAAAAGGTCTAAGTATCAAAAGTAGTTACTTTCTGTAAATTAATCTACAGCTCAAATAGAATTTCAATCAAAATGGCGTAAGACTGGCTGGACATGGTAGCTCATGCCTGTAATCCCAGCACTTTGGGAGGCCACAGCAGGTAGATCACTTGAGTTCAGGAGTTAAAGACCAGCTTGGACAACATGGTAAAACCCCTTTTCTACTAAAAATACAAAAATTAGCCAGGCATGGTGGTATATGCCTGTAATTCCAACTACTTAGGAGGCTGAAGTGGGAGAATTGCTTGAACCCAGGAGGTGGAGGTGGCAGTGAGTTGAGATTGCGCCAATGCACTCCAGCCTGGGCAACACAGCAAGACTGCCAAAAAAAAAAAAAAGGCCTAAGGCTTTTCGCGGAACTCAAAGAGCTTATTCTAAAAAAAAAATCTAAATGGAAGAGCAAAAGGCCAAAAAGAGCTAAGATATTCCTGAGAAATAACAAACTTGGAAAAATTACCCTGCTCCAATATAATTTAAGAACAAAACTACAGTAATTAGATTATACAGTGTTAATACAGGCAGACAGATCAATAAACCAGTGTACCTAGGAAACATGATGAACATCAAGGTTGAGACTGCAACTGAGTGAAGAAAAGGTGTGCTGGAACAAGGACCTCTCTAATGGAGGGAAAAAGATACTGATCCCTCCCCTCACATCCATCTTCATTTACAGTAGTCAAATGCACATGATTGAGAATGTAAATTATAGAATATCTTTAATAACCTCAGAGAAACTCTTGTGGGAAAAAAAGATATACAGCAATATTATTAAAATTCATGAAAAGTGGTGATTGGATAACTGAAGATAGACATTAAAAAGCTTAGAGGGTATTAAAAGGAAACTGGGAGAGATACACAGAAAACAGAGAAGTCTAACAAGTAACCTACAGAAAAAAATGCTTAAGAGGGAATGCATGGGAGATAACTAATTCTGCACATTCTTGATTTTTTAATATATGTAATCATCCCAGATTCTGCACAGTTTATATCCTTCTTGAGTTTAAAGAAGCTCAATTAACTTAAAGCCACATTGAAAAATTACTTATTTTCAGACATAAAATTTCTAATAAACTTTTGTCAATATTTCAAAAGTGTTGTCAACACAATAAGCAGTTGACTATACTATGTCAGTCAATTTTAGATTTGTTTAATTATAATAAAAGAAGCATAGTCAGAGAAAAAATTTTTAAAAATAAATAAAAATGCAAGAAACCAAATAAAATCAGTCATGAGTCCAATTCCTAGAGATAACCACTGCTAAAATGATACATATTCACTTCCAGCTCTTTTCCTTTGTGCATTTTAAACTTCATTCTGTAAATATAATTTAGTATTTTTTCACTTATTGTATCTTAAATATGAGCCCATATCATTAAGGCAGGAAAGTATTTTAGTGGTTATGTAATACCATTCCATAGGTAGCGTAACTGATAAAACTCTCACCCTATTTAGGTTGGCTATTCAGGTTGTTTTCATTTTTTCCCCTACTATAAATAATACGAAGAGAAACATCCTTGTAAATAAATCTTTGGTCTTACATCTGATTACCTACTGACACATGATTAAGAGATTAAAGGGTATTTATTTTTATTTATTATTTTTTTGAGACAGAGTCTCGCTCTGTTGCCCAGGCTGGAGTGCAGTGGCGCAATCTCGGCTCACTGCAAGCTCCGCATCCCCAGGTTCATGCCATTCTCCTGCCTCAGCCTCCCGAATAGCTGGGACTACAGGCACCCGCCACCATGCCCGGCTAATTTTTTGTATTTTTAGTAGAGACGGGGTTTCACCATGTTAGCCAGGATGGTCTCGGTCTCCTGACCTCGTGATCCGCCTGCCTCGGCCTCCCAAAGTGCTGGGATTACAGGCGTGAGCCACCATGCCCGGCCAATTAAAGGGTATTTTTAAAGATCATTCTAGAGGCTTCCAAACTGTTTTCCAGGAGGGTTTATGAACTTAAAATTATATTCAGAGTATAATATAAGGACATTTGAAGATACACTGAATCAGGCCAGAAAGCTGAATCCAACACCAAACTCTTAATAATTTCCCACCTATGTGACTTTGAGCAAGACATAACAACTTCTCAGAGCCTCAGTCTTTCCATCAGTTAGAAAATGGTATTAAGATTTGTATAGTTTTTTAAAAAAATCAAATAATTATTTGGAAAACCAAGTAAAATGATATATCTGAAAAACTATAAACCAAAAAGCACCAAATAAACATAAGGTGTTTTATGGGGAAATAATTATTCAAAGAATGGAACAGTAAGAACTTACTAGAACAAACAGTTTACATCAATGTAAAATTCATTATCACCATAAAAACTTATTAAGTAACTTAATAAGCTGGGTATCAGATTATGTAGGAAACCAAAATAAAGTTTATACAGTTGATCCTCACACCTCCATGATAAAATTTATTTGTAACACCAAAATCAATATTCATGGCACTGAAAAAGTGCCATGAATTCAACGGGCATGAACAAAACAGTGAAAAATTTGAGTCACCAAATGTGCACATTCTCAGCTGAGGCTGAGCAAAGCAACATTCTGTCTTGTTTTAGTTCTCAAACTATAAACAAGTGTCCTTTACATGGTCTATTTAGGGCCACGCTGTTGTGCTTTTGTGTAGATTTTGCCGTTTAAAAGGGCCCTTAAGCACAGTGCTGAAGTGCTATCACGCTCTTAAGCACAAGGAGGCTGTGATGTGCTTTACAGAAAAAATACATGTGTTAGATAAGCTTCATTCAGGAATGAGCTATAGTGCTGTTGGCCATAAGTTCAATATTAATGAATCAACAATACATATTAAATAAAGTTTTTTAAAACAGAAACACATGTAAACAAGGTTATGTAGTGATCAACTGATGATCAATACTGTTGTGACCAGAGCCACATAGGAACCTAACTCTGTATTACTCTTAGGAACAATGGTTCAGTATTTTCTAATTCAGTGCTTGCAGCAACTTCACAGAACTACTGTGAATAATGAAAAACAACTATAATTCTAGTTTTCAAAACTAGTCTAATCAGTTTTAATTACATATGTAGCCATGAGTTGCACAAGAAAAGTGGTAAAAGCAACAGAAAGGAGCCTGAGGTCATCAGAAGTGATCCTGGACAACTGCTATTTTATCTTAAGGTACCTGAATCAGCACCATATATTATAAGCCTTGTGGCTATTTCCTGTCTAACATCCTTTGTGCCTCCATTATAACCTACTCTGTGTTCTTTTCTGTTCCCTTCCTAAAGGTTTCTTAAGCTTCTCTTACTGGCTTTATAAAACTGGGAGAAAAACATAGTTCCAAAATCGTAGAGGGCCTAGAGATACAGCTCTTCTATAACATGAAGTATACAGTTTTCCTCGCATAATTGGGATTTAAATTAATTAGTGATTTCATCACATATTCCATGAGTATCATTTACACCTACACAAATGTTCAAACAAACTGTGAGCTAGGCATGGGCTCACACTTGTAATCCCAGCACTTTGGGAGGCTGAGGCAAGAGAACCACTTGAGCCCAGGAGTTTGAGACTAGCCTGGGCAACATGGCAAAACTCAGTCTCTACAAAAATACGCAAATTAGCCAGGCATGGTGGCTTGTGCCTGTAGTCCTAGCTTCTCAGGAGGCTGAGGTGGGAGGATCACCTGAGCCTGGGAGGTTGAGGCAGCAGTGAGCCATGATTGTGCCACTGCACTCCAGTCTGGGTGTGACACAGTGAGACGATGTCTCAAAAAAAACCACAGGCCAGGCACAGTGGCTCACGCCTGTAATCCCAGCACTTTGGAAGACCGAGGCGGGCGGATCACCAGGTCAGGAGTTCAAGACCAGTCTGGCCAACATAGTGAAACCCCGTCTCTACTAAAAATTTAAGAAATTAACCAGGTATGGTGGTGTGCACCTATAATCCCAGCTACTCGGGAGGCTGAGGCAGGAGAATCATGTGAACCTGGAAGGCAGAGGTTGCAGTGAGCCAAGATCATGCCATTGCACTCTAGCCTGGTGGACAGTGCAAGACTCCATCTCAAAATAAAACAAAACAAAACAAAACAAAACCCAACACAAAAACAGACAATAAAAACAAAAAAAAATTGTGAATCCATATTTAAAATCAATTTGGCTATAAACTTAGATTTTAGAAGTCATCAGAAATGATAAGGTGCACTTATTTAGCACTTTTTACATGTCAGGTATGTCCTCAGGTGTTTATTTTCTCAAGAACTTGGAGACAGTGCTACTATTATCTCCCCTTTACAGACACGTAAGAATAAAACTTGGTATTCTCATACTGCAATTTTTATTTGAAAAATTTACATGCAACTTATTCAATGTATTTACAAAATGAAAACTATATCAATCTATTTTAAAGGCAGAAGTATTCAAATAGGGTAAGCTAAATAGACTTGATTGTTCTGGTCTTTCCTTCAAAATTTGCCTCTCTTATTTTCAATTCCCAGTTTTAGCTATTTTATACTATTTCCCTAGCTTTAGCTATTTTATACTAACTCTGAATAAAGGAAAAAAATGAAATTTTACTATATAATGCTCTCTAGCATTAATTTTTCATTATTTGGTAAGTTACTGATTTTCCTGCTTCTTGCCACTTACACATTATAGGAGTACAGAAACAGTTTAACATTTTGAGATCTGATTCTGAGTTTTTTCCTCAAACATAAACTTTAATGTCCAATTTAGGAAACACAAAGTTAGAAAATATGTCTGGAATACTAAAGTCATTTCAGAGGTCAATGCTTATTGTAAGCTTAAAATAGATGAGGTAATGAAAACCAACAGATCTGTTTTACTCATACTAAGTGTTCCAATATGGCAATTCTAATGCTTAATAAATCCTTGAGGAACAATTTTTAAGTCAAAGTATAATAAAAGGCTAGAATTTGTTAGTGAAAACTGCCATATGGAAGAATTTCAATAGATACTTAAACTAAGAAAATATTTAAAGGTACTATACTTTCTGAAATTACATAATGCAGTAAAAATATTAAGAATTAAAAGTGTAGTTACAATTCTGTGCCTTAGGTCTCAAAAATAAAATAAGCACATTTTGTGTTTCAACTAAAACACAAGGGGACTTAATAAAAAGAATACAATATTATGATATGCAAGGCTGTGAAACAAAACCAGGTATTAATAACTAAAATTGTTTAGAACAGTTACAAGTCACCAAAAGCTGCATATCATTTAAAACATATCATATACTTTTTGTAATGTTTTGAAAAATATTTAACACTTATGAAACATGTTCCTTTATTACAATAAATCAGTCTAACTTGCTGACTGAACTTTTTCTATGTAAAATATCAAAAATTGGCATTGGCTTGCTGTCTTTATTGGCACACAGGCACAGTTACAATTTCAATTATATTAGTTTTAAAAAGTATATTAGCCAGTCGTGGTGGTGCACGCCTGTAGTCCCAGCTGCTTGGGAGGCTCAGGCAGACGGATTGCTGGAGCCCAGGAGTTCAAGCTGCAGTGAGCCATGATTGTGCCACTGCACTCCAACCTGGGGAACAGGTTAAAAAAATTAAAATTTTGTTTAAATAGGGTAAGTATACTACACTGTTAATTTGCTCAAGTTAGCAAATATGTGAAAATACAGCATTACATGCTTTTCATGAAGGCAAAAGAGATGAAACACCTTTTCATGAAGGCAAAAGAGGTGAGAAGATTAACTCTTATTTACCACAACAAAATAAGTAGTGGTATTAAAAAAATATTTAGCGAAAATAGTTTGATACCAAAACATAAAAATCACCATTTGGTAGAAAGGCTTAAAATATGCTTAGTTAGAAAAATACAAGTTTCAATCCCAACTTGATTAGAGACTAAGACTCATTAAGCCTAAATTTTTCTCAAGTATAAAATGGAGATGGCTGAGTCAAATGGTAGTTCTTTTTTTTTTTTTTTTTTTTTTTTTTTTTGAGACATAGTCTCACTCTGTCACCCAGGCTGGAGTGCAATGGTGCATCTCAGCTCACTGCAACCTCCGCCTCTCGGGTTAAAACAATTCTACTGCCTCAGCCTCCCGAGTAGCTGGGAATACAGGCACGTGCCACCACACCTGGCTAATTTTTGTATTTTTAGTAGAGATGGGGTTTCACCATATTGGCCAGTCTTGGTTCAAACTCCTGACCTCGTGATCCACTCACCTCGACCTCCCAAAGTGCTGAAATTACAGGTGTGAGACGCAGCGCCCAGCCATTAGTTCTATCTTTAGTTTTTTGAGAAATCGCCATACTGTTTTCCATAGAGGTTGTACTCATTTACATTCCCACCAACAGCGTTCCTTTTTCTCTGCATCCTCGACATCTTATTGCTTTTTGACCTTTTAAAAATAGCTATTCTGACTGGTGTGAAATTGTAGTTTTAATTTGCATTTCTCTGATGATTAGTGATGTCCAACATTTTTTCACGTTTGGCCACTTGTATGTCCTTGGAGAAATGTCTGTCTGTGTCTGTGTCCTTTACCCATTTTTTGAAATGAGGATGCTTGTTCTTTTCTCCATTACACAATATATCCCTACAACAAACCTTCACATGTAACCCCTGAATCTATAAAAATAAAAAATATGGAACAAAAAGGGGGAAAAGGGGGATAACAATACTAATTTATGAAATGTGGATTAAATGAGTAGTCAAAAAATGCCTTTTAAACACTCAATAAATGATAGCTACTATTATTTATATGCTGTTATTAAAGACAGCTTTCAAAAGCAACCTATTAAATATTTAAAAACATTACTTATATTAGTTTACTAAATTTTCTAGGAACACTATTTTAATGTATTATGAATGAGTAGATCAGTCCTAATGTCAAATTATTAAACATCTATTCAAATAACAAACAAAATTTGTTTTTGGTATGATCTTTATAACCAAAGGATATCATTCCAAAACCAGAAGAACCACGTCACATACATCCAGAATTTGGTTGCCAAATATATCCCAAGGGGCAATGCACTATGCATTGAATGATCGAAAAAGGATCTGTAAAACACAAGTTTTATAAAATATGAGCTCTATATTTCATTGTAAAAATGAGTATTTATTTAAATGAAAATGACACACATTTTGTATAGTAAGCATTGGTTTCACCAGAATCCAGAGTTCAGGATGCTCAATTTTTCATAGTAATCAATAAAAATTAGTTCACAGCTGAAAGACTCAGCAAGATTCTGAAGTTCCTTTTAATTCCCCCCAAATTTAAATTACATTCCATATACTTTTCAGTTTCAGAATTTTAGCGCACTCCTATTCTCTTAAAGTCAATAACTGACTTTAGTATATATAGTAGCTATCATCCAGCATACTATTCACCAAAGATGTGTCAAAATTTTGACAAATGAATCCAAACCAAGCCTCACATTTTTCTCTGTTTCATCATTATTTCTCCTTACCTATAACACTCCAGCAAAAGTTGGAGCACATCTTTTCAAGTAGAATGAACTGGCCAACTTAGTGAAACTGAAGAGTTGTGTTTTTAATACTTAAAATTGGGGAAAAACAAACATTAATCCATTTATTAAACATGAACAGAATCAACTATCCATATAGGCAGGAGGTCTTAGTGACTTCCTATTTATACCCCTTGGAGACTCTAGAAATACTAAAATGAGATTCACTAACTAGATTTAAGCCACTCAGCATATTATAATACTAGTCATTCTCATCTCTGTGTGAATTATTTTCAGAATTCTTTTCTGAAATGCAAGTGAAAATAAGATACTAAAGGACTGGAAATTAGATGGGAAATTCTGGATCACACACCTGTCTAGGTTTGTTGGATAGGTAACTTTAGAGCAATGAGACTTAAGAATAAGAAGAAAACGGAATGATCATGATGTTTAAAGAAAAAAGAGGGAGAAAATAATCTTAAAAACTCAGCCGACTTCACAACTATGCTTAGACTTTACCTTGCTACTAGAAATAAAACCTCTTCCTTGCTTATTGTTTATGCCTTATTTTCTACAGGAAAATATAATTCCTATAGAAAGGCGAGCTCAAGTATTGTAATTACCTGGAAATTAACAATATGTATGTTAGAGTTCAACAGACTCAAATTCACTTTTACTGAAATATTTCAAATATTTCTCAAACTATGTTTTAGTGTTAAAAATTATATGCTAGCTTTTATCATTAAAGTGCCTCTGAATCATTTTAATAACATAACAATGTTTAAAAAATCTCATATTTCACATACAGATGTCTAAATTATTTAAATAAATTAAGATCAAATGTACAACATACAAACATTAATTTTATACAAGAGTACAAATTATATTATTTCATGTACAGTTTAAAATATAGTTAAAAACAACACACTTACTTTGAAAGAAACTGTACTGTAGCCCAAACACCACCATACATTAGCCCTTTAATGAGCCAAGAATCAATATTTAGGTCTGCTATAAACCCAACCAGCCAAATAACTAGGAAAGGAGTTCCTAACATTACTTTCTGCCGAAATTCCTGTATAGAAACAAAAAATTAGAAAAGTTTTTGCATGTTTCAAGTAATCTCAATCTGAATCATTGTTACCTTTGTGAAGGCATGCAACAGCGGGTGAAATTCATTCACTCAAATTTGCATGCTATGTATCAGTACTATTCAAGGTGCTGGTGTCTGTCTTCTGGAGACAGGCAATGAACAATTTTAAATAACTTTGCTAAAATTGTGGAAAATAAGAACAGAAGTTATAGCAGTTGGTTCTATATGGTTAAATATAGAAGACAGTACTACCTGCTTAACACATACACTGGCTAGCAAACAGTTCATGAAAAATACCACCCCTTTTTAACAGGGGCACTGATAACCAGGGAGACAAGGACAACTAGAATGACTAATAGTATAAGAATTATAACACATAAGGAAACCTGAAGATGCTTGCCTGGAGTAGACATTTCAAATGATAAATAGTATATTAAAATCTTAAAATGAGATAAAGAATAAAAGCAAACAATCCATAGGCTCCTAGAGTTCACTGAATGAAGAGATGTGTCTCTGAACAAAGATCAAGGCAGAGTGCTCAATACTCCAAAGGTATTTCCATTTCATTTCTGTACTGGTCTGGTTGTTAAAGTCCATACTTGTAAGTATAAAACCTACATAACTCCTGGTAACTTCTATCACAATTTTATCTTTATAGCAACCAAAGAAAGTCTACTGCCTCTTCCATGTAAGAGCCCTTCACAAACTTATAGCCAGTTATCAAGTCTCTGTTCAGTTACCTTAGGTCACAAAACTATGTAAGATATTCAAGGCAGGGCATGGTGGCTCATGCCTTTAATCCCAACACTTTGGGAGGCCTAGACGAGAGAATCGCTTGAGCCCAAGAGTTGTAGGGCAGCCTGGGCAACATGGCAAAAACATGTCTCTACAAAAAATACAAAAATTATCTGGGCATGGTAGCACGCACCTGTACTGTATCCCAGCTACTCGGGAGCCTGAGGTGGGAGGATTACCTGAGCCCAGGGAAGTCAAGGGTCAAGGCTGTCGTGAGCCTGGGCAACAAAATGAAACCCTGTCACACACACCAAAAGAAAAAAGAAAACCCCAGCTGTGGTCTAACAAAGCAGAGTATGAACACTGCTTTCCTTACTGAATATTTATCTTCCTAAAAGCTAAGGTTATATTACACATTTTTAGCACCCCTTTCATACTATCAGCTTCCACTGAAATAAGTGGGATTTTTTTTTTTCATATAAATGACCATGTCTTCCCCAATTTGACCACTGTAATTCATTTTCTGAACTAAATGTGTAATTTTAACTTAGAGTAATAATTAAACATCAATTTCAGGCTTTAATTTTATGCTGCAGCAAAATAACTAATCCAATTCTTTTTTCTAATAAGTATGAACTTTATATCAAGACATTAGAGAAGATTTACTACTCAGGAGACAGAGAGTGTATGGGTACATAAAATGGTACTATAAAAATATAATGGTAATGTGCTGCTATGTGAGAAATCTATTTTCTCTTATATTAGGAAAATTTTCAACTATATAGTAAATGTGAAAGAATTATATAGTGAAGTCTATCCACCACCTAGATTCAGAAGCCTCTTTTTAAATTAAACTTCTTATTTTGGAATAATTATAGATTCACACACAGTTGTAATAAATAATACAGACAGATCCTAAATATCCTTTGTCCCCCAATGGTAACATCTAGCGTATCACAGTAGCATATCACAACAATGGTAACAGTAGCATGTCACAACCAGGAAACTAACCTTGATATAGTCCAGCTACAGAATATTTCCACTACTTAAAAGGATTCCTCATATTGCCCTTTTATAGCCAACTTCCCTCCTACTCCCAAATCCCCTCTAAATACTAATTTAAAGATGTCCCTCCAACTTATTAAGAAGATTTATTTAACCGTAAATATGCCTGTCTAAAATCCTTTTACTTAATATTCTAAGTAAAAAATCTAAGATATTTAAAATCCTTTTACTTAATATTCTAAGTAAAAATCTAAGATTTTTTAAATTGTTTTCTAAAAATATTGTCCCCCTTTCTTTTTTTTTTTTGGAGATAAGGTCTCACTCGGTCACCCAGGCTGGAGTGCAGTGGCATGATCTTGGCTCACTGCAGCCTCAACCTTCCGGGCTCAACCAATCCTCCTGCCTCTGCCTCCCTACTAGCTGGGACTATAGGCGCACCACCACGCCTGGCTAAAGATTCCATCTTTATCTGTCTACCAGCAGTATTCAAAAATATTTTCCCCCTTTTGGAATGATATTTTTATTTTTCTTAAGGGAATGACTTTTTAAAATAAAACACTATTGAGTCTTAGGTGTCACTACTTTCTTTTTTAGTTTTAAATATAAAACACACTTCACAGGCTAGCAAATCAAAACATGTTAATGACTGAAACTTTTCCAATGTGACATGGAAAAAGAAAGAACAGTCTACATAATTACAGATGCTTAATCTCACAGGTCCCCTAATCATCATAATTTTTAAATATATGATGGTTACTTTCAACCTTTAAATATCACTCTCCCAATCATCATAGGCTTTAAAAGGAACCTTTATAAAAATTTTAATATATTTAAAGCTACTAATGAAAAAAAACAGGAAAGAAACTCCATTTCTGAACTGACCACAATCGTATACAAATGTTAAAATTGCACTAAACTTTTAATGAAGTTCTTTTTAAAAAATCATATCCAAACACATAAACCTGATGTATAGTTTAATAATGCCATAAGTAACTTTACATATTAATGCAACATCTAAAATTTGTAAGTCATTTATGACTATATGTGTGTGTGTGAATATACATATATAAAATAAAACTTCAAAATATTCACATTCAACAAAACGAAAGTGCCAATATTGTGGGATTTTCCAAAGTAACACAAGATTTTTTTTTACTAGCCTAATTATCATAAGACAGCCATTTTTCACTCTGTTGAGCAAAACTGCTCTAAATCCTAGAAAACTGAGCAACACAAAATAAATCATTTTCTATATCATATCTAATAATTAAACAGAAGAGTTAACATGGCATGCAAAAATTGTTCATTAGTCTCAGCTTATAGGGCTGAAAACAGCCAAGTTTATAAACTATGAATCTAATTCTTCTAAGTAACGGACCAGGGGACTTTTCAACTGATTAAAGAAGTCCAAACTCCTATAAATAAAGGAGGCACTGCTTTCAAGACTGCTTCTCTTTATCCTAAATTTGTCTTTTTGCCTTGGTAACAGATAGATCAATATTAACTTTAAATAATCAACATTGCCACTAGAACAGCCTAAACACGATATACAAAAGATGGTACTCAAAACTTAATGCTACTCAAGTTGTGATTACTGACAAGTTAGCAGACATCTTGACAATTATTTAGGTACATAAAGAAACTCTACGGCAATTAACTTCTTTTTTGTGGGAAATAAGATTGTGCAGAACCTAGACCCCCTCTCTGGGGGAAAATATTCTAAGTTTTAGTATCATATAATCAGGCAACTGAGCCAACAGTCATACAATTTAAAACTGAAGGTATATGGATGATCTAAAATGAGTTTTCCATAGAAAGGTCAAGAATATAAGCTCTCTGAAAAAAGGTATACAACATATCACAAAAGAATGCAAAGCTCAAGTTAGAGCTGGAGTTGTGAGTAGTTTAAAAAGATATGTATTAGAACTAAGCTATTTCACAATTTATTATCATACTAACAAACAAGCATTCACTAGAAAAACCTTTATTTTTATCTATTACTTAACAAAGGCCAGTTGAATCAATGAACCAAAATGTACACGAGTAGCCGATGGAGATTTAAATAATTTCATATATACCCATCCTTCTTAATTATTAGCCCCAAAAGGTCACCAACCACGTAGGTAAGAGCCCTTGGAAACTTTGTTATTTACCTTCATTTATTCTGAGTATAATAATATTTTAAAAATTACATTGAGAAATGCCAAAATTAAAGGCTGTAAATACTCGTGCTAAGTAAGTGTTCCTAAGAATCCTACTTAAAAAATTATATATCGAAAATCTTCAGCTGGGCGCGGTGGCTCATGCCTGTATTCCCAGCACTTTGGGAGGCCGAGGTGGGAGTATCACCTGAAGTCAGGTGAAGTCATCTGAAGTCACCATGGCCAACACGGTGAAACCCCATCTGTACTAAAAAAAAATACAAATATTAGCTGGGCATGGTGATGGGCACCTGTAATCCCAGCTACTCAGGAGGCTGAGGCACAAGAATCACTTTAAACCGAGAGGCAGGGATTGCAGTGAGCCAAAATCTCGCCACTGCACTCCAGCCTGGGCAACAAGAGCGAAACTCCGTCTCAAAAAAAAAAAAAAAAAAAAATCTTCAGTTATGAGTTTACCTTATCAGCTTTCAGCTTTCTAAGGAAGGACGGATTGTCATATCCTTTTGCTTGCCTTGCCTCTTGTAAGTGGTTGATCATCCACACATTTTTTCTCTGTTTTGCCAAATCAAGCGCTGATTCGCCCTGATAATATAAACAGAAGAAATTCCTATTAAAAGTTTAAAAGCAGGCTATCTTAGTTACCTTTAAAGAACTTCTATAAAAATTAATTTACTGCCCTATTAACGTTGTTTTGACATTGTGTAAATTACTAAAAACACCTGCATCATTACATGTTTCTTATTACGCTTTCCCAAAGAATAATCACAAAATGTATTTTCTCATCATATTCCGTAGATTTTATTTTTGCCTGTATTTTGACATATTAGAGAGCAAATCAAAAAGTAGGTATTTTAGTACCTGCTGGATCAGAGGCTATCACTAAGTTTATCAGTTATTTCATATTCTTTAAAAATTTCATTAGTAATAGTTATTGCTACAAAACACCTTGCTATAATATCAAGTTGCCAGAAATCTCTCAGTTTTATTTCAACAATGATAGGAGTCTTCAGAAGAGAATAGGAAAGAAAAGGAAAAGTCAGTCTCTACTTCTACCACTATTGTACTGGCATTCTTGATTTATATTCATTCACCCACCCAGAAGTTTCCAAAGTAAACGAGAAATGATTTTAAAAAATAGCAAATTCAAGTTATGAATTTGTATCTCCCTTTAATCCTAAGAAAAAGAATGCCAGGGAATTTACATGATAGGAATAAAATGTATCAAAGTAAGAAACAAATAAGCATTCCCAATTTTAGGTCTATGCTTCTTTTTGCCTTAACTAATTTAAAATTTAAAATCTTATTTCTCCTTTTGCAAATTAGTCAGACACCTACATTTCCATTTATTTAATGTGTTCCACTATTTATCTACTTCTTCAAATAGAAAAGCAAAACTTTAAATGCTTACCAAAGTTTCAAGAATGTAAAGATGAATATTCAAAATTACTTTTAAAAAGTAAAACCACTGAAATTTTATTTCCAAAAACAAGGTCAAAAAGAATAAAGCAATAAAGAGCCTTGGGGTGCCTTATTTATGAGGGATGATTACTTATTAAGTATAGTTTATTTAATATTATAAAATAAAAATAAACAACAAAATAAAACACACCACTGCCACCAACAGCAACAACTATTACAAAACAACAAAAAGCCCAACCAATCCTTTAATATAAAGATCAATGGTATTTAATAAGAAATGGGCTAATCTAGGAGTCTTCCACAAATAGGGATATTTACTTTAAAATATTGCCTTACCTATTCCAAAATTCCATCACCTAAGTTGTCAGAACCAGCTAATTAATCCAAACTATAAAGATTACCTGAATAAAAGCAATCCCTTGGGTAACAACTCCCCGGGAATATCCTGCAGTTGCCTCGGTCCAGCTGAGCATCCCTTCCACTAGAGGGCCATGTGACACCTAAGGATTGCCTAGACAAAAAGATTGAGGGAGCTTTAAAATATCTTTCAACTACTCCTCCAGTCATCTAACTATTTTTGTATAGTTCTTTTATTCAGCTGGTAAAATAAACACTCAATTCATTTAAAGAAGTATATTAAAACCAGGGTTCTGAGTTAAGTCTATATCTATTTGATCACTCCATGTCTCAGCCAAAATAATAATATTAACAATAGCAACAACAGCAAGAATCTACATGGAGTAATTATAGACTATGTAACTGTTAATAAAAGAAATCATTCAAAGGTTTTGGTCAGATAAACATTATGGTTGGGGGTAAGATCACTCAACATTTCACCTACGTAAGGTTGAATTTCATCGTCAAATTTTAAAAAAATTTTTCCTTGGTGACCATTTAGGTCAGGTATTTAAGAGGTAATACAAAACTATTTTCTAAAAACAGTTTCTTACCTCATTTCAAGAGGTCTTTCAATACATTAATGAACAGAGCTCAGTAATTTTATATTCTGTACAAGCTAAAAACTATGCCCTTTGATAATTTTAGAAAGAAAAGATTATAACTGCTTGTGTAGCACTCAGAGATTAACTGTTCCTTCCAAACTCAATTCATCTAAATTTATCAGTATAACCAAAAACATATGCTAAGGATTATTATTTTTTTAATCACAAATGAGATACTACCACAAAAGGGATTACTGGGTAGGCCATAATTGTGTTTTGTTTTTTATTCTTAGTATTCCAAATCATTTGTTTCCCCTGTTGTTGCTTTACAAGAAGAGATTTAAAGCTATTTCATGTAGCTATTATCTAGGGGCTTGGTTCTTAAATTCTTTTGAGTCTTTTCTGATGACAGCCACTTTTCTTCCTCCCAGAAGAATGCTGATACAAGTAACTTTTTTTCAACAATTTCAGGGGTCCATGGACCCACACCTCCTCCAACCAAAGTCTACTGGGGGGACTCCAGATAAAAAAACCTAGGGTATACAGCTATTCCTGATCCTTCCAGAGATGAAAACAGCAATTTTAAAGTTACCTATCATTTAGTATAAATTGTCTTTTTTTTTTTTTTTTTTTTAAGACATAGTTTCACTCTTGTTGCCCAGGCTTGAGTGCAATGGCACGATCTTGGCTCACTGCAACCTCCACCTCTCAGGTTCAAGCAATTCTCCTGCCTCAGCCTCCCGAGTAGCTGGGATTACAGACATGTACCACCACGCCCGGCTAATTTTGTATTTTTAGTAGAGACAGGGTTTCTCCATGTTGAGGCTGGTCTCGAACTCCTGACCTCAGGTGATCCGCCTGCCTCAGCCTCCCAAAGTGCTGGGATTACAGGCATGAGCCACAGTGCCCGGCCTCATTTAGTATAAATTGTCTTTAAAATAAGTTCTATCTTGTTTTGATAAAGGAACGTTTGTTTATACATGAAAAGAACTGAGTAACTAATATGTGAAGGTAAATCTCTAGTTAATATAAAGAAAGATTTCTAAGACACTTAATCATATATAGAAAATAGGTATTTTAGGGAAAGGGGATCTTATAGAATTATTATAACACAAAGCGTAATTTTTCATATTCTTTGAAAAATATAACTTTTTATAGCTATTAAAGCCATAGCCAGATTTGCAGGCTGCATCTTATCGTTACAATCCACTATTATCAACAAGATTCTTTCTTAAGACTTAAAAATGGAAAAAGCATAGGTATAAATAAATTTGGTTAGATTCCTGGACAAATATTCTAGGTATTTTTTTAAAATAAATGTTTCCTTTTCAAAATTGGCAGCAATTTAAGTTTACTTAATTAGCTTAATAGTTCACACGGCTAAGACACCACTTCAAATTAAATATTACCAAACAGAACCAATTCCTATCACCTTCATCCCAAAAAGTCCTTCTTCAGTCTTCACAATCTCAACATATGATATCACAAGACGCTCAGTTACCCAAAACAAAACCTAAGTCATCAACGATGGTTTCTTTTATCCTCACACCTAATCTACCTTCTTATTTCTACTTTAAAATATCCTCTCCAAATCCAGTCATTTCTCTCTACCTCTACTCCTCTGATCCTAGGCTAAGCTAACATTATCACTTGTCTGATTTATTGCAACAGCCTAACTGATCTCCATCTTTTCCATTTTCTTAACTCTTCAATGCATTCTCCATACATCAACCAAAGTAATGTTTAAAAAATATTTAAAACAAAAAGCAGATCATATAATCAGCCTACATAAATCCTTTCAAATGTTTCCCATGACTGAGAATACAATTAAAGCTCTTTATTATCGCATTGCATGATACAGCACCTGTGTTTCTCAAGTGACTTCACCATCTTGCTCACTGTACTCTGGCCACACTGTCCTTATTTCTGCACCTCAAATACTGCAATCTTACTCCTGTTTAGGACCGTGCACTTGCATGTTCCTCTACAAGGAAAATTTTTTCCCACATGTCTCTGTATAACTGATCCCTTCTCATTACGTAATTCTGAAAGCAAATGTCATCTCCTCAGAGGCATTCCCAAATCACTCTCACTGGATGTGGTCCTTCCATCCCAGTCATTCTATCACATTTGCCTTTTATTATTATTCACTTACTGGCTGTTTCCTCAACAGAATGTACATTCTGAAAGAATAGAGACCTTATCTGTCTTGAACAATGTGACTCCCCACCACCCACCATTGAATAAGAATTTGCTGAACGAATAAATACATGGTTTCTATTAGAAGGTGATAAGACTTAAGTATGTTGGGAATGCCTCTGAGGCAGATCCCCATTTTTAAAAAAGGCATTTGATACTCATTTCATCTTTTTAATTACATATAAAGTGCATTTTAAAACAAAAATCTACTTTGTCACCAGTGTAGATACAGGTAATTTTTCCCCTGAAAGTATAAATGTTCCCTGAGCAAATACAATAATTCCTTAGACTTTATTTTCTTTAGAAGTACCATCACTCCAGAAGCTACCAGGGAATTACATGAGAAAAATTTTTTGTCAATAGCCAACCTCTATTACATGTGACAGATAAAGTTAAAACATTAATAAAAAGAAAATAACTGGAAAAAAATGAATTTAAAAGCTCTAAGGTACAATAATTAGCTCAATTATAGACACTGTAGACTCTGGAAAGTATTCGCATGAACTACAATAATAGTTAAGGAAGTTACATTCTATTTCATTGTTTCTTGGCACCAAATAATTCTTGTGCCTGAACCTATAAAACATTAAAAATACAAAGTTCAAAATCATTTAAATAATTTTAAATATCTCTACTCTTATCATTAACTTTCTGTTGAAATTTGCTGTAGATTATTCCTTTTACTAAGAGTAATTTAAAAGTTTACGCAATGGCTAATGAGAAGTACAAGTCTTCATTATTTACTTGAAAAGACATTGAATTTAAAAACATACCTCAAATCCCAATGACTGTGACTGAATTTAACCTAATTTTATATGAACAGAAAATAAACTTTTAAAAGCTCTAAAAATACACACTACTAGTTTCAAACTCCAGAACTGTGTAGTCATCTTACTGTCATAATTCTTTGGTATTACTATAATTTCAGTATACTGATATGGCTATTGGCAGAAGGTCTACAGAGTCTTACTATTTGCCAAACTAAAATTAATCCTGTTTTTTCAATAATACTAAGTATCTTTAAATGTATTCCTCGTGCATGATCACCTTAGGAATGGCTGTCTGGTAGCAAAGATAAAAAAAAGTAGTAACACTCTGAATTCAGATAAAAAAACATGAGGTAATCTCACATAATTTTCTTTTAAGTATATTGATCAGGTTTAGTCAAACTTCTCTTTTCTTAACCTTCAGACCTGGGATCAGCCAATTTACTCATTCCAGTGTTATAAACTTTTAAGAGCATCCTATTTAAAAACATTCAAAAAGCAAACATTTCTCTCTATAATTTCTGAAGTGGCAGAGGTATCCCAGCAGTCATGAAAACTACCTTAGGTAAAACTCAAGACTACATAAATCTTCATTTACTCAGTCAGTAAATACCTAGAGTGCCCATCGCTTATCAGGCACTATGATATGCTGACTTTCTTCTTTCCCTATGTTTAGTGGCAGATATGGAACTATTCTGATCACTTTTGTTAGGGACAAGAAGACTTGAAATTTTTTTAGAAGAAAGAAAAATATACATGATTTTATCAATCTCTTATGGTTTCCAATATTAATTTACTTTTAACTAAATGTTTGTAATTAGACTATTTCTAAAAATTGATAAGCTTAACAAATTATGCTCCATAAAACTAGCCTAAACTATTTTATTTTAGAAGTTTATCCTTCTCCTCTTAAAGTAACTGAATCAAGGAAGAACAAACTATTCCTTGGAACATAAAGAGATACCCTGATCCAGCAGGAGATAACCTACTTTTTGATTGGCCATTTCAGATTAGTATGTGTCCTGAACCCCCTTCATATTTAATTAGCACATATCCCTTAGAAATTTAAGAAACATAACACAGAAAATACTATAAATTATAGCCAAAATTAAAGAACATTTGTCAATGGGTATAGTTACTTATGAATGCATATGATTAAAAGATGATGTTTAAAGTAATTTCGCAGAACGAGTTCGTTGCTGAAAGACATGGTGGATCCTGAGGCTTTAAAAATGAAAAGAAATAACCAAAATTTTGAGACTAGCAATAGAATCTTATTGCATGTATTAATAAAATGTTTACTGATTTCTAAATGTTTAGAGTGCAAATGTTAATTGTGCTTGGCTCTTAAATAATGTTGTAACTTTTCCTGGATTAGTCCACCATGGTGGGGTGGGGGTCCTCCTATCAACACCATAAAGGCATTTATCAAATTTAAATCTCTTGATCTTTAAAAAAATAAGACAATAAAATAACCAAGTCAAAGAATTATTAAAATGTATTATGCATAATGTGGTTTAACTGTAAACCTGTATTGAAGAAGTTTCTTTCAACTCTGACAGTCTATGAAAAACTTGTTTTATTACAGAATTCACATATTAGCCACATTTCATACAGTATTATCAATATAGAATATTTTTACCTTGATATTCTGGGCATCAACATTAGCTCCAGCTTCCAGAAGAAGGCTAATGACTGTGGTATTCCCTGCTAGCACTGCCCAATGCAGAGCAGTGTTTTTGTGATACTTGTCACCAAGGTTAACTGAAACATTGAATGTTAAAAGCAATCTAGTTGGATCCACACTGAAAAGGAAAAAAAAAAAAAACAAACAACAACAACAACCCTAATTTCAATTATAGAAATCATTACAAATACTAAACTGATTATGCTTACAGTAGCATTCCATTTTGGAACACTTCTAACCTACTCAACAACTTTAAAATCAATAATGAGACAATATTCTAATATGAAGTATTAAGTATGTATGACACCATATAAAATAATATATTAATAGTTTCAGGGGATAAGCAACTTGGTCCTGATATTTTCTATTTTTGACCTAGAAATGGCATTAATACTTATACAATTCAAGAATAACACTTTTTAAAATTTAAATTTGGAGTCTTCCAAAAGTGATCTAAGACAACTTACTAATTAATAAATTTGTCAATATGTAAATCACATGAAAAAATTAATTAATTTTTAAAAAAAGATAACTTCTTTTCTTAGATATTGTTAAAAGAGAAACAGATTAAGGAAGCTCTAATCAGTGAGGGAGAGACAGCACAGAGATACCAGAACATCCAAAATGGTAATTTATATATACTATAGTCATAATAAAAACTGTAAATATTAGTGAGTATAGTATTAACTGCTTTTTCCTCTCTCTTACTTCATATTGTATTATGCTGAAATGGCCTAAATAAGTTTTTTATAGTCATTACATACCTATGTGTTCTATATGCTGCCCACATTAAAGGCGTCATTCCATTCTGATCCATCATATCTACATCCTGATAAAGTAAAAAGAAAAAAAGTCAGACAGTTAAATTATAAGTTCCTAACCAAATTTGCTTGGAAAAATCTAATCTATATATAAAAGGAGAAGCGAATATAATACTACTCAATCAAGGATAATGTATGAAACTTTCTTTCTTAACTTTAAAATGAAACTCTTGTCACTATATACTCTAGTGAACATATATCATGCTTTTACATTATTCCCTTTTAAGATGTTTTAATCAGCCTTTCAATGTTTCACATTTAAAATTCTTAACCTATTCTGACCTTTCAACCACAAAGGATAGGTTAAGTGATTAAGTTTCTGAAAAACTTGTTTATACTAATGCATAAGAGAGAACGACAAAACTGTTTATTCCTAGGCATTTCAAAACAAAAAATAAAAAGAACTGACATTTTAATATACTCAGTTTTTACTGTTACACATGTACATTTTTAGAGTTAAATGATTCTGCAGTTTGTGTGGAAAAAGCAACACACTAAAGCAATCCCCCTGCCTTACTTCCCACCATTTTCACCATTTTTTGGCTCATTATTTTTATATTTACCTCCATATCTTTAAATAAGATGTTTGAATTGCTACTTCTTGATTTTTCAGTTTCAGGCATTATTCTGAAATTCCTTGGTACAAAAAATCTGAATTTTTCTCTTTCCTCTCTGCTACATCACAAATGCACGCCTTTCCTATTCTTTCCTCTCAAGAGATCTATTGTAATTCTGGTTCATATAAACATTTAATACTTGATATGTATTATTATAAATATGCATAAATACTATTCCCAGCCAAACCATGTAATAAACCACTATTTTTCCTCTTCTACTCAATTTTTTGCTTTCCCTGGCACCATCTTTCCCCCACTACTACTTAGTTTTTAGCAAATTATAACTAAAACTTCCACCTATTAAACCGAAACTCTTTCCTAGTTATCTAATTCTCCTTGCGCAAGACTTTCTGATGTATCAGGGACTCTTATCAGTTTCAATGCTCTGAAACTACCTTTCCTAACCCACTCCATTCTGAACTGATTATCCTCTATGCCTGAAATGTGTGTCTCATTAACCTGGAGTACTTTGAAAATAAAAATCATCTCAAATCCATCTTCGTATTCTCAGTGCCCAGCAGAGTAGATGATCGAAAACCATTTATTAAAGGAAAAGACATGCTTATCTATCTACTTTTCTAGGCTTGGCTTTAGAATAAGACATGGTTTTGACTTCCTAGCTCCATCATATAATTGCTATGAGATTGTAGGCTAAATTACTTTAATTCTTAGTCTTAGCTTCCTCATTAAAAAATGTGAAATACAAATAACTTCATAAGACTTCTGTGAAGATTAAATAATGTGTGCAAAGCATCTAGTCAACAGCTGAGAACATAATGGATATTCAATAAATATTAAGTTTCTTCTTCTTCTCTACCCCATCTCCCATTCCTGAATTACATTAAGCAAGCAGTTCTAATCCAAGTTGTGTTACCTAATTCACCAATCAGTGGAGAGAGCAGAGAGTTACAGTAAGCACACTGTAAAACACTATCTCTATGCATCAGTTCTCTGTGAGCCACTGTTAGCAATAGGAATATGTCTCAAATGTGAACATTATCTAAGCATATTGAAGAAAAAAAATCTGAGAACCACTACATTAGATAAGTAAAGCATTTCCTTGGATGTCATTAACTTAGTCACTCACCATGCATACTGTCATAGAATGTTATGCCTTATCCATTACAAATCCATTTCTGGATTTACTTTAATAGTGTTGTCAGGAATATCTTCTGCAACCTCACTCAACATTTCCAATATGCAAGTACATTTTTTAAAATAATCCTGTGGCTTAAAAAAAATATGTTTTCTGAAGAAACAACAAACTTCCTTATTTCTTATATGAGAAGTAACTATTGTGACTTCTTTTACTCCTAATTTCCGTAGGACCTCAACCAAATTTCAGGTCTAATTAAAGCAAGCATGTAAATTCTTATGTTTAAGTTTCTCCTTCTTCTTAGTTGTGTTTTCATATCCTTTTTAAAAAATGATAGTATTAAAAATATCAATAAATAAAAAAATGTAAAATCATGGCACATCTCTAGAGTACTAAAAGAAAAATGAAATTCAACCTTTTCTCTCTTTGGGTCGGGATTTAAAACTTGGTACTTCTTTTCCAAGTTCAGCCTGGACGTATGGGTATTCTCTATTAGGAAGAATTAACAAGCCCAGATCAAAAGCTTATGGGAATTCCATGATCAACAGGGCTCCATAACTTAGCATTTTCCCCTTTTTCTCCTGAAAATCATCCAAAAGAATTGGTAGTGAGCACTAAATATATTTAACAATATAACTAAAACAAAACGATTGTGAAGAATAGAATGACAAAACTGAATGGAAATGTTATATACCCTGACAATGTAAAATTGATATAATTAACAACAAAATGGGAAAATGGAAAAAGGTTGAAATGAAAATATGCTGAGAGCCTCATCTATAGTAGCCATGAATCAAAGAAAACTATCTAAAGCTGAAAAATCAAGTAATAAAAATGTAGTAAAAATTTATCAGAACATAGTTAACATTAAGAAAAACAATATTATTGACTACAGTCGATAAAAGAGAAAGGGAAGAAGAAATAAAAATATGCTAATTTTATTACTGCTTATAATTAGGAACTATGTAATCAGAACTAATAAAATTTGAGCAACCATCTGACTGAAGAGAGAGAGAGAAACTGTGTGACTATCTGAGGAAAGAATATACCAGCAGAAGAAACAGCAACCAAAAGGCCCTTAGACAACAGCATGTCAGAGTTGCTGAAAAAGTAGCAAAAAAAAACTAGTGCAGTTAAAGCAGAGTGATGATGGGGAGATGGCAGAAGTGGAGCTCAAAGGTATCCAGGGGTTAAACGGCACAGTGCTCTAGCACAGAGAAAAACTCTGGGCCCTCACAGTATGATGCAATGCACATTGGAAGAGTGTCTTTTACAATATATTAGTGTATACATGTTGAGTATCCTTTATGTAAAATGCTTGGGACCAGAAGTGTTTGAATATGTGTATGTTTTTCCTATGTTGAAATATTTGCATATATGTAATAAAATCTTGAGAATGGGACCAAAATCTAAATGTGGAATTCATTCATCTTTCATATACACCTTATACATACAGCCTGAAGGCAATTTTATTCAATATTTTAAATAATTTTGTACATGAAACAAAGTGTGTGTACAACGAACTATATTGGAAAGCAAAGGTGTCAGGGGTAAAATTTTCCACTTGTGGCATCATGTTGACACTCAAAACGTTTTGGATTTCGCAGCATTCCGGATTTTCAGATTACAGATGCTTAATCTGTACATGGAATAAAATCTCTTAAAATACATACTACATTATTAAAGGAAGTAACCTCAGTCAGCAGATGGCCAAGGGGAGAGGTGAGATTTCATTTTCTAAGTCATATTCTATTATGCCTGAATATTTCATAATAAACATTTATTATCTTTGTGTGCAGAAAAAAAATTTACTCATGGAAAAAAAAAACTATTTCTCAGACATTTATCATCATCATTATCATCATCATGCCCTTTTTGTACCAAAAGCACTGACAGGTAGAAATCCTGCCCTTTGAGAATTTTATAGCCTATATACTATACCAGAGGTTAAAAAGATTAATGAAATAATCCAAACTCCAAAATCAATAAGTTAAAAAAAAGACCATGAAGACTCAAAAATGTACACCACCTTTCTTTCCCAGTTAAAAACTGAAAGTAAAAAAGTGAATGTGTATTGTAGATTTATTCTGCAATATGGAAGGCCACTAAAGACCTTGTGATGTGCTATAGCACCATTTACTGCTTCAACGTTTGTTCTAGAAAAAAACTGCAGAATAACAAGAATAATCTCCTATAGCAGTTGCTCTCCAGATGACCCCCCATAAACCTGGCCTCTTGGTATTCACACCCTTGTGTGGTCCCTTCCCTCCGGGTGGTTATGGCCCTTGTTAACTCACTTTAACTGATAGAATGGAGAAAAAACGTTGCTGTGTCAGTTCAAGACCTAAGACTTAAAAATGCAAAACAGCTTCTACTTTTGTTCTTTTGGGAGCTCTAAGCCAATATGTAAGAAGTCTAGTTCTCCTGCTGGAAAGACCACATGGACTGGTATTGAAAAGTAGAAGTTCTGACACTACATAGAGAAAGAAAGAGGCCTCGCTGCCCCAGCCTCCCAGTTAAGCAGTTTGTAGCCATTCCTATCAAGTCACAAGATATGTGAGCCAATCTTCCAGCTCAGTCAAGCCGCCAGACAACTGCAGCCACCAGCCAAGGAGAAAAACCATCCAGCCAAGCCCACAAAATTGTGAGACGTATTAATTGGTTGGTATTGTTCTTAAGCCATTAGATTTTGGCAGTAGTTTTTTAACACAGTAACAGACAATAACCCCCCCTCCCCTTCCAGCAATTAACTTTATCAGTCTATGCCTCTTTTCCTAAACTATAATGCACAACACAACTGCCACTGCTTGAGACTGCCAACAACAAATACTGTAAAACCTTCATTAAAAGAAATAGTATTCAAATTCTAAATCCGCATAGAATTTTAAATTAACAATAAATACATGTTGATAGCAACAAATTAAATACATATATCTTAAAGTTATTCTTGTGATGAGATCCTTACTTATAAAATTAATGTTCAAATATAACCAGAAAAAACACACTAAAGAAAAACTGGGTGACATTACTTTTAACAAAATACGTTTATTACAAAAACATGATTATATAAACTGGTAATATTTAATGTGATTATGGTCACTGCACACTCAAGAAAAATCAGGAACAACCACTTAAAATATGATGTTTTTCTGACAAGTAAGAAGCAGCATTATCTTATACAGCAGAAACTGATCTTAAAAAATGTATCCCTCTCAAGAGATATTTAATATATAAAATAACCAATAAATAAGTTCAAAAAAGTTTGGATGAATTCAGATGATATATTCAAAATACATAAAGAAAAAATAGATACTTATATTTTCTCTCTTAATTTCTGAGCTTTATCTCCATTACTCTTAGAAATAAAAAACCCAACTTCATCATTATCTGGTTCATGATTTTCATGCTGGCTTTTATGTTAGGTACATTAAATATCTCCATATCAAACTCACTATATTTATGTTCTTCACCCATCAGAAAGTGCTATTTAAATATCAACGGCTTGTTACAACACCAATAATATTAGGCATTTAAACTATGAAGAACATCTGATTAAAATCCATACCACTGAGATTTTTTTTACCTGTCCTTTTGCTATGAGATAAGCAACAATTGAGGTATGTCCGAACTGAGCAGCCAGATGAATACAGCTACATCCTTCTCCATCAATTAATGAAGGATCTGCACCATATTTCATTAGTTGCACAACCATGGATAGATGGCCTTGTCTAAAACATAAAAGAATAAACACTTAGATATATAAAGTTATTTCAAACAGGATCCTCTGGGAAGAGCTTTTTCAAGTAAGGTATGGTGGGAAGATTACGTATGTATTTTGAAAAGTTATTTTAAAATAGATACATGTCAAAATACATTTAGGATTTTATGGTTCTTAGAAGTCTTAACTAGATTAACAGTCTGAAAATGTATGGAAGTACTCATAACTTATTTAAATATATAGTAAATAATTACTATATTCTATTATGTCCATTCTAATATTATCTCAATCATCCCAAGAAATGAGCTAATTCTTTCATTGTAAATATATACAGGCTGCAAAAATATTACGTTTAGAAATCCAAAGTTTAATCCAATCTTATAACTAACTGAATTAATATCAGCATGGCCAGGGAAACTTTGGACAATAAACTTTTGCTTCTTTACAGGTAATATTTCACAATAAAACATCAGCATATTTATGATATTAACTAACGGCATAATAAGCTCTCCTATTCATTTTAGTATATCATTTTTTTAAAGTTGTTTATTTATATACTAATAAAGGAACCAAAGGAAAAAAATCCAGAAGCAAATTTAAACCTTGTGGCCCAGTGCAATGGAGTTGAATTCAGGTCCCCTCCAAGTTGATCCACAATAGCACCTTTCGAAATATAGTATCTATAAGACAAAATTTATAATAATTTAAATAACTTTCATTTTCAATTTTAAGAAATTTTGTGAAAAATATGTAAATACATGTTTTCTATTTCAGATCTCATGCTAGTTTGAACCTTTGAAAATAAATAATCTTTTGTGGTTGTTTAAAAAACATATTTAGCAGAATTTTATATCAAATACCTCTTTTGTTCTAGAATAAGGAAAAGAAAAATAATTTTTAAGTTACAAAAAAAAAAGAATAAAAATGCCAAAAAAATCACGTAAAAAAGAAGGTACTCAAGGAACTACAAAGATTTGAATAGTAGCATATAGAAACTTGAAATTAGAATAGTTGCAGAATAGGCAAGACATGGTCTACCTTGGGTAGCTCAGCTTTTTAAGCCTTACTTTCCTTAAGATTACTGTAGATTAAATCAAATAATATACACATAACATAAAGGTTCTTTACTATGCCTTGTTATTTCTTGTGCCTTTAAAGCCATGTTGCTTGAAAAGGAAATAGCAACTTTAGTATTAGATTAGTAAGCTTAATATTAACATCATAATATCTTTTTTTGAGAGAGGGGGAGAGAGAGAGAAAGATAGCATCTCACTATGTTGCCCAGGCAGGTCTCCAACTCCTGGACTTGAACAATCCTCCTACTTTGGACTCCCAAAGTGCTGGGATTACAGGAGTGAGCGGCCGCACCCTGCTGTCATAGCATCTTGATAGCTTCTGAAGTGAACAAGATCTAGCTGTTCATTATAATGCTTTCTTTGGGAATAATTAACGCAGTGAATCCTGAATATAAATGATTCCAAGGTATATGATATCAAATACTTGACATATGTATACTCTTAAACTGTTCTGATTACTGCTCTAGATCAGTAATGCATTTACTCTTAATGTACATAGCTCTTAACCTGTGATTATTCATGCTTATGTGTTTAATTCAGAAATTTGTGGCTGCAAATAAGTATTTGTTTAAATTGGTGCTTTTAAAGCATTATGCAATGAAGGGCCCAATTCCACTCTATCATGCAAAATGGTTCAAAGTAACCTAACAAAGTATTTCCAGAATATTAAACTATTAATAACGCAAACATTTAATTATTCCTGAATCCATTTTAAAGATACTTGGTAAACATTATATATAATGCTGAAAATGTTCTTTGAGAATGGGTAGGCTAGAACCCAAAGCTCAGCCAAAATAACCACTCTCGTAGGAAATGATATTTTATTAAAAATCGTAACTAGAATTTTTCTAAAGCAATTTCATCCCCTTCTCTATAGTCAACTGTTCCTGAGATTCATTTTTACTGACATATGGCAGAATTTAAATCATCACTAGGTCCATGTCAGTGAGCAATTTCCAAACTGATTCTAAAGCACAACTTTTTTTTCTTCACAAGGAGAGGGAACTTTTCTGCATCCTAAAAAAAGAATAACTTCTATTACTTTTCATTGTAAACTTCTCAGTATTATATTTTTATAACATGTTATTTCGTGTAGCTATAAGACCTTAGCTCAAAACTACAAACTTCTGAGATTGCACAATTCTTAATCTTGAGCCTCTTTGCTCAATATACTGTTAAGAAGGTTTTATCAAACAATGTTATGGCAGGTACTAATGATCCTAGGTTTTCAGAAGGGACCATCAACGAACAACTGATACCAACAAATATTTAGTAAGTACCTGGGCTGTAAACAGAAACAATGGTTGAAAGTCAATATAAATACATTGCAGAAAAATTGTGTTTTCTAGCATATATTCCCGCTGAAAGTCAGTAGTTACTTAGCATCACAAATAAGTGTTTTACTGACATGGAAGCAATCACGCAGCTGACAGTGCTCGAACGCTTTCTTTGTACACCATAATGTTAAATCTTAAGATGCTGCTACTCAAGTTTTTAATAGAATTATAGTTAAAATTCAAACTCTTAAAGTCCAGATTCATTCTTGTGTCCCTAAACTTCATTATATGATGGCAATTTCTGACTTCAGTGTCAGTCCCATGTTGATTTTAACACACAACCATTCTGCATTTGCCAAGAGGTACGTTTAGTGCACCTTTACCCTCAAAGTTTGAGACTCAGGAATTAAATTAGAGAACAGTGAGACACTGCACTGAAAATGTAGCAATTCAGGGTGAATTCTCTTACCTGGCATTAATATCCAACTTGTCTCTACACTCCGTGTGTTGCACTTAACATAGCAAGTAGTTCATTTAGTTCATTTTACATTTGTGTTGGCTAGGCGCAGAGGCAAATGCCTGTAATTCCAGCATTTTGGGAGGCCAGGGTAGTTGAACTGCCTGTGCTCAGGAGTTTGAGACCAGCCTGGGAAACACGGCGAAACCCTGTCTCTACCAAAAATACAAAAAATTCGGGCCAGGCACAGTGGCTCACGCCTGTAATCCCAGCACTTTGGGAAGCCGAGGCGGGTGGATCACCTGAGGGCGGGAGTTCGAGACCAGCCTGATGAACATGGAGAAACCCCATCTCTACTAAAAACATAAAAAAAATTAGCTGGGCATGGTGGCATATGCCTATATTTATATAGGCGCAGGCCTATATTTCATTTTCATTTAAACCCTCTGGTCCTTGAATCACTCTATACGTCATTTACTATTGGCACCCGCCTATAATCCCAACTACTCGGGAGGCTGAGGCAGGAGAATTGCTTGAACCCAGGAGGCAGAGGTTGCGGTGAGCCAAGATTGAGCCATTACACTCCAGCCTGGGCAACGAGAACAAAACCCCATCTCAAAAAAAACAAAAACAAAAACAAAAAAACACAAATTAGTTGGGTGTGGTGGTATTCGCCTGTGCTCCAAGCTACTCGGGAGTATGAGGTGGGAGGATCGCTTGAGCCTGGGAGGCGAGGCTGCAGTGTGCCAAGATTGTACCACTACACTCCAACCTGAGTGAGAGAGTAAGAACCCATCTCAACAACAAAATTTCATGTCTTTCTGTAAATATTTTGTGTCCAAAGTGTCAAAAGACTACTAAACAAGATTTGCTGAGATTTCCTATCATCCTGACTCTTGATTATCTAACTATTTCTTATTAATACTAAACAAACATTAACAGTGATGGATAAAAATCATTTTACACTTAGTATGCAAAGTATTCATCACTTATGCTGGTGTGAACAGTTAAATCAGATTATTATTACCTATTATCATTTCAACTTTCCTTTTGCTGTTTTCTCCACAGAATCCACATTTGGAATGTGAACACCAAGTCAGACTGCCTGAGTTCAGGTCCTGACTCCAACCTTTATTAGCTGTGGGTCACTGGGTAGTATATTTAAACTGTCTGTGCTTCAGTTTTGCCAGCAGTAGGACAGTAACAATTGTTATATTTCATATACGGTTATATTAAGAATTAAGAAGTAAAGAAAACATATATGGAAAAGTACTCAGTACAGTACTTGGCTAATATAAGCATTCAATATAAGTTAAAAGCAATTTTTCTTTTTCAGAAAAACAAGGTACACAGAATCTATCTTCTAAAAGCCATGAATTTTAGAAAGTATTAGTTTTTATAACAATTACTTCTATTAATTTTATAACCATAAAAAGTCAAGTTCTAATAATTAAAAATAGAGAAAATACATACTTGACTAAATCTATTCTGTTATTGATGGCAGCCCAATGGAGGAGGGTAACATTTTCTTTGTCCGGTTGCCGTACATCATAACCTGCTTCCACCAATTCTCGACAGCGTTCATATATTCCATATCTAGAAAAGAAAGAAAATATGGCATTGTTATTATTTAACAAGAAATGTAAAGTTAAAAATAACATTTTGAGATGAAAATAATTCCTCATTTTGATACTAGGAAATTAAAATGTATTTCTCAACATAGAATATTACTTTTAAAATGTCAACATTCCAAAAACTTTTACTAATCCATTTTACAGTTCTAAAATGTCTCACTTATAAGAATGTAAAATCTCACTATATGAAAGAAAAAAGTATACCAGAAATAAAATTTCAATCAGTTGCTTTATTACCACTTATCCCACCAAACTCTTAAGGCAGACTGTAAAAAATACACACATATTAAAAAATATTAAATATATAAAAATCAGTAACAAGATGCATATAAATGATTTAGAAGAGTATCAAGAAGAAAGGATGTTATATAAGCCCCAGTGTGAGAAACACACTCATCAGTCCAAACCCAAAGAATGGACCAAGAGGCACGAGGAAAGGCGAAAGTGAGACTTTCAATAGCAGTCTTGTAATATCAGGTGTCTGGTAGGCAGACACACCCAGGGCAGCTACAGCAGGCAATTTATCTCCTAGCACACAAGTCCCTCCCCCAGCTCCTCACTGGTCGAGTACTATGGGGTTGCAATCTTCCCAGACGCCGCCTAAGTTTTATTATCCCCCTTACCCCGTCCTTTTCCACGCTTAAGTTTTGATTTCACAATAATGAAACTTTCTTCCCTTTTATGGGCTGACCCCTCCTCTACATTCTGTTCACTTATTGTGACCCACTAGGTGCATAAGCCATGTAATTTGTTACATTCGCAGGCTGGCTGCCAGTGCTTAGGTTTATCATGCCTTGAAAATGGACCATTTAAAATGTTTTCTCACAAATTCCCTTCTCTTTTCTATTTACTTCTTTTAGTTTCATTTTCATTTGAACCCTTTTGGTCCTTGAATCACTCTAGAAGTCATTTACTATCTTCCTCATAGGAGAGTGAGTCTAATTTGGTTTTTAATAGTAGCAGGTTATTTTGCTGGTAAGTTATGGGCATTTGTTTATTAATAGCTGTCTTAATTAATCTCTGTGCTAGTCCCCTCACACAAAGGATAATACAACATCCCACTGCTGGTAAGACTTCTGCCACAATTATGAGAGATGTAAGGACTGAAGCTACCATGCCTTTCCATTTTCCAAACCAACCTTTTAGCCAACCTGTAAATGGGTCATCAATTCCAGCATTCTCTGCCAGCTCACTAGCTAGAGTTGTCAAACCTTGTAAAGCTTTTGTGATGATCCTATCTGGGAGAGTATTGTTGGGAATAAAAGTACATTTCCCACCCAGCATCACACATATGCCCCTTTTTTTCTGCTAGTATCATGTCTAGTGCAAGCTGGGTTTTCCAGGCCATTCGGCTGATGGCATTTAACTAGCTAGTCACCCCTTTGAGGGCATCCCAAGTATAACTGATGAATCTGTGGATTATAATAGATGGAGGTAATCCAATTCACATTCTCACTAATAGTTGACCACCAGAAGAGTGCTGATTCAAACCCAGCAGCTATTTGGTTTCGGGCCTTAAATTCATCATGCACCCCCTAGGGACTCCTATCAAGTCAACATATATATAACGGGATTAAAAGAATTTGTCAAATCTCTCTGGTTTTGGTGGCCATCTGTATTTATGGTTATCTTATGGAATACCAGGGTGAAGGGAATGGCCAAATGGACTAAAGCACAAGTCCCGGTCCAACTGGATGGTAACAAGTTACAGAGGTTCCTTCTCCCACAATACCACCAGACATCATCAGCCCAGGGTATATGGAGAGCTGAGTAATTACCATTGCCTCAGCAGATGACGTTTATGATGTGGGTATAAGTCGAGAATTCTCCCACAGGCTTACTGAACTCTGCCCCTTGCCTAGAGAGGCAAGAGGAATGATTCATATTCCCTACAGAGAACGAGGGGATTGCTCTGGGATGTGACCTCCACAATGCGGGAAAGGACAATGACAGACTCTGAACAAAATCATCTAAGACAAAGCCTATTTTATAATAAATATCTCATGTAATTTTTTTTTTCTTTTTTGAGACAGGGTCTCAGTCTGTCACTGAGGCTGGAGTGCAGTGGCACAATCATAGCTTCCTGCAATCTCCACCCCCAGGGCTCAAGCAATCCTCCCACCTCAGCCTCCCTAGTAGCTGGGACCACAGGTGTGCACCACCATGCTTGGCTCTTTTTTTGTACTTTTAGTAGAGATGGAGTTTCACCATATTGCTCAGGCTGGTCTTGAACTCCTGGGCTCAAGCGATCTGCCCACCTCAGCCTTCCCAAGAGCTGGGATTACAGGTGTCAGCCACTGTGCCTGGCCTCATGTAATTTATTGAATACTGTACTGAAAGTAAAAACAAAACAAAAAAAAGAACGGCTGTATGGGTCATACTTGAAGCATGATTTCTACTGAATATGTACCACTTTTGCAGTGGTGGAAAACTCAAATCAATGTAAGCTCGTAGCACCTGCACTCATAAAAAGATAAAATACCTAAAAAGAAACCAGAAAGAAATTCTAGAACTAAAACGTACAATAACTGAAGTCATTATATGGATTCAAAGACAGAAATGAGACAGAAATGTCTTCAAAGACAGAAGAAGGAATCAGCAAACATGAAGACAAAGCAATAGCAATTACTATCAAGTGTGAGGAGCAGAAAGAAAAAAGACCGAAGGAAAGTGAAGACAGTCTAAGGGACCTGTGGGACACCATTAAGTAGAACAACACACACATTGTGGAAGTTCCAGGAAAAGAGAGAGAGAGAAAGGGACAGAGAGAATATTTGAAAAAATAATAGCTGAAAACTTCCTAAATTTGAATATAAACATCAATGAAGTCAACGTAAAAGGAACTCCAAGACACCCACACTGAGACATATTATAATCAAACTTTTGAAAGACAAAGACAGAGAGAACCTTGAAAGGAACGAGAGAGAGGCAACTGGTCACATACAAGGATCCTCAATAAGATTATCAGAAGATTTCTCATCAGAAACTTTGGAGGCCAGAAGGTAACAGGCTGACATATCCAAAGCGCTAAAAGAAAACCAATGCCAACCAAAAATCCTATATTCAGCAAAATTGTCCTTCAAAAGAGGGGAAGAAATTAAGACATTCCCAAATAATGACTGAGAGAATCTGTTACCACTGGACCTGCCCTGCAAGAATTGAACAAAGGAGACCTGCCAGGTGAAATTAAGGGACACTAGACAGTAACTCAAAGGCATATGAAAAAATAAAGATCTCAATAAAAAGTCAATACATGGGCAATTACAAAACCTAGTATGACGTAACAATAATTTGTAACTCCGCTTTTTGTTTTCTACTTGATTTAAGAGACTAATACATTAATTTAAAAATTATTAAGCACTAGTATTATTGTAATTTTGGTCTGTGTGTCTACATATTGTTTCTATATAATTTTAGAGACCAATGCATTTAAAATAATTATTACTTTATGTCTGTTGGAAATACAATGTATACATATGCAGTTCTGTGACATCAACAACTAAAAAGCGTATAGATGAGGCTGTAAAGGAGCACAGTTTATTAAGTTATTGGCATTAATCTGTATAAATTCAGTAACATAAATTCAAATTAGTGTTATAACTTTAGGATTTTTTTTTTCTTTTTTGAGACAGAGTCTTGCTGTGTAGCCCAGGCTGGAGCACAGTGGCGCGATCTCGGCTCACTGCAAGCTCCGCCTCCCAGGTTCACGCCATTCTCCTGCTTCAGCCTCCCGAGTAGCTGGGACTACAGGCACCCACCACCATGCCCGGCTAATTTTTTTGTATTTTCAGTAGAGACGGGGTTTCACCATGTTAGCCAGGATGGTCTCGATCTCCTGACCTTGTGATCCACCCGCCCTGGCCTCCCAAAGTGCTGGGATTACAGGCATGAGCCACCGTGCCCGGCCCAACTTTAGGATGTTAAATGTAATATCCATAGTATCCGCAAAGAAAAGTAGCTATAGGACATACACGAAAGGAATGAGAAACTTAAACATTTCACTACAAAAATTGAACTAAACACACAAAAAAAAAACAGTAATGCAGGAAATGAGAGGGAAAAAAAGCTATATGGCATATAGAAAACAAATGCTGGCCAGGTGCGGTGGCTCTCGCCTGTAATCCCAGCACTTTGGGAGGCCGAGGAGGGTGGATCACGAGGTCAGGAGTTTGAGACCAGCCTGACCAACATGGTGAAACCCCGTCTCTACTAAAAATACAAAAATTAGCTGGGCGTGGTGGTGCATGCCTGAAATCCCAGCTACTTAGGAGGCTGAGGCAGGAGAATTGCTTGAACTCAGTAGGCGGAGATGGCAATGAGCTGAGATTGCGCCATGGCACTCCAGCCTAGGCGATAGAGCAAGACTCTGTCTAAAAAAAAAAAAAAAAAAAAAGAAATGGCAAAATGACAGAAGTCCCTCTTTATTAGTAATTACTTTAAATGTAAATGGATTAAACTCTCCAACCCAAAGACAGTTTGGCAGAACAGACTGGGGTAAAAAAGACCCAACTATACGCTATCTACAACAGACACACTTTAGATCCAAAGGCAAATGAGTGGGAAATTAAAGGATGAAAAAAGAAATTCCATGCAAATAGTAACCAGAGGAGAGCAAGAGTGGCTACACTAATATCAGACAATAAACTTTAAATCAAGAATGGTTACAAAAGACAAAGACATTACATATTAATAAAAGGTTCAATGCAGCAAGAAGATACAACAATTATAAATTAAAAGCATTGAACATTTAACCTAATAACATCATCAAAATATTTGAAGCAAAAATTGACAGAACTGAAGAGAGAAACAGATAGTTCTACAGTAAGAGCTAGAGACTTCAATACCACAACTCTCAATAATGGATGCAAGAACTAGACGTAAGTAAGGAAACACAGAACTTAAGGAAACTGTGGCCAGCCTGGATTCATGTATTTTTAAAAGTGAATTGAACTTATGTATCAAAATGTAGTACTGTGCCTCTTCTTCCCACTGTAAATAATTAACAATTCCTAAGCAAATATCAAGTGGAAAAGGGAAGACTACGAACAAAATAAACGACATTCTGAAGACACAAACTTTGGGGTTTTGTCTGTCTAGTTTCTGTTGTTGCTTTATGTGTAGAAAAAACAAGATTACATGTATCATTCTAATAAAAACCATGTACAGGTTGGGCATCTCTAATTCAAAAATCCAAAACATGAAGTATTCCAAAATCCTAAACTTTTTGAGCACATGATACCACACATGGAAGATACTACACACGACCTCATGTGACAGGTGCATAAAACATAAAAAACATTGTATAAAAGTACCTTCGGGCTATGTGTATATGAAACATAAACAAACATGTTTAGACTTGAGTCCCACCCCAAAGATCTCTCATTGTGTATGTGCAAATATTCCAAAATCCAAAAAAATCCAAAATCCAAAACACTTCTGGTCCCAGGCATTTTGAATAAGGGACTCAACCTGTATTTAGATAAGATAGCCTATTTAAACCTAAAAACAAACAAACCTACAAAAGAAAACAGAAACACAATCTTTATAGCTGTCACTGGATTTCTCTATGTTGTTGCACTCAAAGCTCACGCAAAAGATGAGATCACCTTAAAATCAAATTGTTCAGATCATTTTTAATCTTTTTGGTGATCACAGACCTCTTCAAAAATGCAATGAAAGTCACAGACTCTACCCAGAAACATGCTCCAACACGCAGAATTCTGTATATAATTCCAAGGCATTCAGGGAAGTCTGAAGCTCTTCCTGGAGCCCAGGTAAGAATGTTAAGTAATTCACATGTCCTCAGCAAGTTGTAATAAAGATCACATTATTCTGAAATTTGGTTTGCACTGAGTAGTGTTAAGGTTTCCAGAACTCTACAGAATGGATATTAAGAGACCAAAAGCACACCAAGTCTTTATATTAAGAAAGAGTTATTTCATAATTTCACAAAACAAATAAAAAATATTGTTTTACTTAGTTGACCTACTGGCATAACAGATACCACTTTATGCTTTCTTCTTGAAGTAAATATGCAGATGATCAAAAAGACCAAGAAAAATACACATCCTAAGGAAATATGACTATTAATTCTGTGGGATGCAATGAACTTCAGAGAATTCTTTTTTTGCTTGTTTTTTTTGAGATGGGGTCTCACTCCTTTGCCCAGGCTGGAGTGTATTGGCATGACTATATCTCACTGCAGCCTCGAATTCTCAGGCACAAGCGGTCCTCCCACCTCAGCCTTCCGAGTAGCTGGGACCACAGGAGTGTGCCATCACGCCTGACATGGTTTGGATCTGTGTCCACACCCAAATCTTATGTTCAATTGTAATCCCCAATGTTGGAGATGGGGCCTGGTGAGAGGTGACTGGATCAAGGGGGTGGATCCTTAATGAATGCTTTGGCACCATCCCTTTGGTACTGTTCTTGTCATAGAGTTCTCATGAGATTTGGTTGTTTGGAAATGTGCAATACCTCCTCCCCACTCTCTCTTCCTCATGCTCCAGCCAGGTTCAGATGTACCTGCTTCCCCTTCACCTCCCACCATGATTGTAAAGTTTCCTGAAGACTCCTCAGAAGCAGAAGCCGCTATGCTTCCTGTACAGCCTGCAGAATCATAAGCCAATTAAACCTCTTTTCTTCATAAATTATCCAGTGTCAGGTATTTCTTTATAGCAGTGAGAGAACGGAGTAATACAATGCCCTACTTTTTTTTTTTTTCTTTTTTTGCAGAGACAGGGTCTCATTCTATTGCCCAAGCTGGTCTCAAACTCCTGATCTCAAGTGATGTTCCCACATTGGCCTCCCAAAGTTTTAGGATTACAGGCATGAACTTCCACATCTGTCCAATTTCAGACAATTCTTAAAGCTCAAGAATCTATGAACTAGTTTCTCCTCTTTGCAGATGAAAATAACTGTTGTTATTTCAACTTCCATATACTTTGCATTATAAAAAGTCAGATTTGTCCTTTTCCTTTGCCTATCTCGAAGACTGATAATCTGGTATTTTGACGATATTTTAGAAAACTGTGATATTTCCCTTAGCACGGGTTAAATAAGTAAATATGACATTAACTACGTTTTATTTCTAATCTGTGTACCTGGTTGCGGGCGGGAGAATATTGGATGCACACTGATGGTTTCCATTTAAAGTGCTTTAATTCCAACAATGTTTTCCAACTCACCATAAGTAACCTTAATATTCTCAGGGCCTAATAGTATACTTCTGGAAAGATCAGCAAGTACCAAAAGCAAACAGACCTATTCAATTATCCAATGGGAAATAAACTAAATTTTCGTGTGTGTGTGTGTGTGTGTGTGTGTGTGTGTGTGTGGCAGAGTTTCACTCTTGTTGCCTAGGCTGGAGCACAGTGGCGCAATCTCGGCTCACTGCAACCTCCGCCTCCTGGGTTCAAGCGATTCTCCCGCCTCAGCCTCCCAAATAGCTGGGATTATAGGCATCCACCACCATGCCTGGCTAATTTTTTGTATTTTTAGTAGAGACGGGGTTTCACCATGTCGGCCAGGCTGGTCTCAAACTCCTGACCTCAGGTGATCCACCCTCCTCGGCCTTGCAAAGTACTGAGATTACAGGTGTGAGCCACCGCAACCGGCCCATAAACTAATTTTTTAATTGAGATATACTGATGTTTTTCCCAAAGTAATATGACTGTTATTCAGATTCATATTTCACTTGAAATACACATGCCAAAGAAAACAACTACAACAAAAACCTTACTGTGTAGCCTTGACTATGTCCCATGTGCTGTAATCATCAATATGAGTTTTCCGTCCAAGAGGTTCACCATATCCATGGTTATAATGGCTTTGGGGTTTGATTTCCTGTTAAAAAGAAAATCACACACAGGCAAGAATTGAAAAAAGAGGTACAGAAAATATTTCTATATTTTATAGTAGTGCTTTTGTGTTGTTTGAGAAATGCTAATTACTGAAATAATTAAATTTACCTTATTCTAAAGTCTATACTCTTTTATTTTATTTATTTATTTTTTTGAGATGGAGTCTCACTCTGTCACCCAGGCTGGAGTGCAGTGACGCGATCTCGGCTCCCTACAACCTCTGCCTCCCAGGTTTAAGTGATTCTCCTGTCTAGCCTCCTGAGTAGCTGAGACTATAGGCACGTGCCACCATGCCCAGCTAATTTTTTGCATTTTTAGCTGAGACGGGGTTTCACCATGTTAGCCAGGATGGTCTCCATCTCCTGACCTCGTGATCCGCCCGCCTTGGCCTCCCAAAGTGCTGAGATTACAGGCATAAGCCACCATGCCCGGCCAAGTCTACACTCTTTAGGGAAAAAGCTTGTTCAAAGAGATCTACCCATTTTACACATTCTCAAGCTAAAACAATCTGTAAGATTAGAAACAAGTAACAACTTAGCAACTGAAACTAATCTTCAGCTCCACAGAACTCTCTTACCTCATCATCAGATCAACTCATTCTCTCTGACCAATTTTTCTATTATTCTAGTATGACCCACAGCTCTAACACTCTACTTTAAAACCTTCATCACATGCACTACTCTATTCCTCAGATAAACTCTAAGGCCCTAAAGGAAGGAACCTATGGATATTATTTTTCTATTATTCTCAGATATCACCTTTCCTAAACTTCTTCATGCTCTGAACTACCATTAGATGAATAAGGAATACAGCAGTGCTGATAAAAGGTAAATCTGCTTGAATAGGCCTAAAAATGTTAATATCCTTTTAAAAAGATTTTATATAAAAATCCATATATATAAAATTTAATTTACATAAAAATTTAAATGAGTTTCAAAGAATATTACATCTATTCAAAGTTTACATGCTGTAATTTTCTATTAAAAATACAAAATTTGGTATATATAGTCAATTTCCTCAATATAACATAGCACTAAAATACAATTGTTTCTTTTATATAAAAACTGAAAAACTGAGTTTGTTCAGTTCCAATAACATCTGTTGAAAATGCTGTGTTTCTGATATTTTTGACAAACATATGTGTAAATATAAATAAAAGGATAAATCATAAAAGATTTGGAAAGAAATCCTTAGAACAATATATGCTCTCTTGCCTCTGATAAACCACCTACCACTGATACTTAATCATACCAAGTTGAGAGTATTTTACTAGAGGAAAAAGCTATTTAGCTTACTCTAGCCATTCAAATTTTGTGGAAAGTTCTAAAACTAATTTGTTTGAACCATAAATTTAGAAGACTATCAATCTGAATATTTTCAATGAAAAGGAATTTAAAAGTTTTACACAAGCAAATTCTGCTTAGCATATAATCTTTCAACAAGTAAATGCTTAATTCCTTATGAAAATGCTATAGCCAATGTTAAAATACACTTTAACATTTATAATTATATACCCACATTAGAAGAAAGAAATATACATCATTCTTAAGCCAAGATTCACAATATACTGCAGATAGTTCACTAAATGATTTTTTAAGAGGTTGTTCTCAAACTCCATTAAAATAGAGTAGCTTGAGTAGGTTTAGTATTTTGAGTATACACAATGTTCTGAATAACTGACAAAGCAAGCCAATACATAAGACTTATCCATTTAATTTCTTTAAATCTTTTCTATTTAATTTCTCCACAGAATTCCAGTTTTCAATCTCTCTATGCTCTATATTCAGTGGGGTTAAGGTAAAGTAAAATACTTCTAAGCCAGTAACACTTTCTTATTTCTAAATTTTCTTTTCTGATTCTATTCTCTCCAACCACAAGGAAAATAATTTTTTTAAACTCCAACTTTGACATCTATATGGCTGTAAGATACCTGAAAAAGAATAAAAACTTGATCACATCTTTCAGGGAGAACAGAATAATATACCCAACAAAACATGTATTGAGAGCCTGCTATACATAAAGCTCTCTACAATGTACACTTGGACCCCACCCAGGATAGGGTAAGACATGTGCAACGTTAAAGAGGTTGTCAAAAAACGCAGTAATCAAGATCAACAACAACAAAAACAACAACGTTTTAATGGAATATTTTTAAAACAAAACCAATGCAACAAAACACACACACACACACACACACACCCATGAACCAAACATCAACATTTTAAAACAGAGACAGCATCAGAATCACTAACTCTTCCTTTTGCTTCAGGCTCCACTATAGCTCAGAGCATCACTGTGCATGTATACAAAATATAGCCTGTCATCCTGAAGGACTTCCAATCCAGAATGGAAAGACAAAGTAGAGAAGAAAAATAAGTCAAATATTATAAGCAAGAGCCTTCCAATAATAAGTAAAAACACAGATGAGGGCAACATAATATCCAAAAGGTAATAACATAACTTGAAAAAACTTTGAAAATGTGCTACGGCAAAATGCTATTCTTTTTTACTATGGACAAATACATTGCTTTTACATACCAATAATATTCATAGAATAAAAATAAGTCTCTTTCTGAGGATTACTATCATAAAGTTTTCAAGAAACTTTAATTTTATTTTCATGCCCAGAGACCTCATTTACTGTACATAATGATTAAATTGTATTCTCAGTTTGTTTCACTGACATTGCCAAATGCGAGCTTAAAAATGTTACTGGAAATTAGACTTTTTTTTTCCAGTAACATATTAAAATTAACCTATGTAAGTATCTGTTTTGTGCCTCCGATAAGGTTGTTTTTATTTCCTTAGTAAAAGGTATCTATTTTTTAAAATATGCCTTTAACTAAACATATCTCAAATAATTCTACAGTGGCAGAGTTATACTCACTAAAGAAAAGGTATATATGAAAATCTCCAACCTGCTTTATTACCTAACAAATTTTGTAATAAAGAACTTTATTTCTCACTTTTAAACAGACTGGATACTGGTTTATCTCTAGGACTAGTACCTTGTCAATGTGACAAATGACAACACTCTATCAAGATAATCACAACTATCAATAGGCCTAGGAGTAACAGTTCTAATTATAAAACATATTTTTAACATGTTCATATAAATAAGCATATCTAACATAGATAATAATTTTTAAGCTAAAAATTTGCTATTATATATTAAATATATTTTCAACATACAAATATTTAGTTCATTAAACTCTTTAAAATCCTGTAATTTGGCCGGGTGCAGTGGCTCACGCCTGTAATCTCAGCACTTTGGGAGGCAGAGGCAGGTGGATCACAAGGTCAGGAGGTTGAGACCATCCTGGCTAACACAGTGAAACCCCGTCTCTACTAAAAAATACAAAATTTAGCCCAGCATGGTGGCAGGCGCCTGTAGTCCCAGCTACTCGGGAGGCTGAGGCAGGAGAAAGGCATGAACCCAGGAGGTGGAGCTTGCAGTGAGCCACGATCGCGCCACTGTGCTCCAGCCTGGGCAACAGAGTGAGACTCTGTCTCAAAAAAATAAAATAAAATCCTGTAATTTTTCCTCGATGTTAATGGAAACCAAGAAGCAATTTAATTGCTATTTCTACCAAGAAAAGCAATACTAATTTAAAAATATGTATGTGTGTCATTGTAACTTTTAAGAACGCAGTAATTCCATTAGAAGCAGCTTGGTATAATAGAAAAAAATCCACGACTGAGAGGCTAATGAATAAAAGTCCGCCACTCCCCTACCTAGGGTACACCTAACAAGTCAATTAACTACTATAGGGTACAGATCTCTCCTTCGTAAAACGGGATTTGGATAAAATAAGCAAAAAGTTCCTCTGAGGTGCCTCAAGGTAAAAGTGGAAGAGCTCAGAGATTTCAAACTCCACACACTCATTCCCTTCTTTTGAGGCAGAGCCTCACTCTGTCACCCAGGCTGGAGTGCAGTGGCATGATCTCAGCTCACTGCAACCTCCGCCTCCCAGGTACAAACCATTCTCCTGCCTCAGCTTCCTGAGTAGCTGGGACTACAGGCACACACCACCACACCTGCCTAATTTTTCTATTTTTAGTAGAGACAGGGTTTCACCATGTTGGCCAGGTTGGTCTCAAACTCCTGGCCTGAAGTGATCTACCACTTCGGCCTCCCAAAGTGCTGGGATTACAGGCAGGAGCCACTGCACTCAGCCTCATTCCCGTCTTAAACAAAGCACTTCATTATTTGTTTTTAGATACTGGGTATTAAAAACTTTAAGCAAATTAAATTTAGCAGAGTTTATCTGAGCAAAGGACAACTCACGAATCTGACAACACTAATAACCAAAAGAGGTTCAGCAAGCTCAGCTTCAGAGCATGAGCAGAGGGTTTCAACAGGCTGAACTTGGAAGCAAAGCAATTACTTGATCAGCCATAGCTAGCTAGGCATTTGCCTTATTTGATCATGATCCAGTAAAAGGTCCCAAGTTAGAGGTCAGTTGGTGATTTCTAACTGATAATGTCTCTAGTTAGACTTAAGTTTGATGTCACTGTTTTCATTGAATTGGGTTTGGGTTTGCTTATGTAGGAACCCCAGGACATGCAGCTTTATACAAGATTTCTTCAATTAAAGGTTTAGCTGCTTTCTAAAAAAAAAGTTCTGAAACTTCTAGATTAGACATTCTCCAAGTTCTAAGGGGAACATAAAATGATTTCATATATTTTTTTAAAATTATAGTCACTTGGAAGATTCTTAACATTATCTAGTTGACAGTCAGAAGGTTTTTTTGTTTGTTTTAATAGTCCTGGCTTTGAAGAGAACTGGAAGGAGAGAAATTACCTCCAAAATCTGCTACTATAGGTAGCAGATAGTAGACAGGAATAGTAGACAGGAATGGGAAGAGCTGGGATAAGCTGAGCTGCGATAAACACTGCAGCAAAGAGAAATCAACATGACAAGACTCAATCTTATACAGCAGGTATAGGGCAAATACTAGTTTATATGCCAATGAGAGATGCCATAATACATGTTTATTTGCATACCTTGATGGGATTATATAACCAATCAACTATTCGCCAAGTGTCTATGTGCAAACTAGTTAACTTTTTAAAATGCTAGACCTATTGTGGTATAAGTGTAATCCGTCTTTGTCCCAGGTTCACGGCACAAGGCTCCTAAAATGCTTAAAATTTCTGAGTGATAGGACTGTTTTTTGTCATTCATTAAAGGTCCCTTTTGACTACACCAGAGTTTATGCCAATGAAGTGACCTGGAGTGGAGCCTATATAGCATAAACTCAGGAGGGGGCTGGTGACTAGAATGACCAAGTGATTAGAGAGCTGGAATTTTCAACTCTTCTTACTGACCTCCAGAAAGGAGAATGAGGTGCTGAATATTAAGTTCTATAAAACCTCCTGAAACAACATTTGACGAGTTTCTGGATTGGTGGAGACATTAAGGTTCTGAGAGGGTAGTATGCCTGGAGAGAGCATGGAAACCACACTCCCCTACTCAGACCTCCTCCCATACATCTCTTTCATCTGGCTGTTCCTGAGTTGTATCCTTTATAATAAACTGAAAAATGTAAGTAAAGTGTTTCCCTGTGTTCTGTGAGCAACTTATGCAAATTATCAAATCTGAGGAGGGAGTCATGGGAACCCAATTTATAGCCAGTCAGTCCAGAAATACTGGAGGCCTGATTTGTGACTGGCATCTGAAGTGGGGACTTCAGTCTTGTGGGACTGAGCCCTTGACTTGTTGCGTCTATGCTAATCCCAGATGTATAGTATAGTATACTAAGTATAGTGAGTTCAGGAATATTGTGAAAGAAGGGTAATGGAAGGGACTTGCCCTTCAAATTTAATTCTATTAAATTTATGGTATTTTGGGTCTCTACGGGTACTTGATTCATTTCTAAATTCTACCTAATACTAACGAACCTTCTTAAAACAAAATAAAACAAAAAGCATACGTATAAAGCTCCTTTTAAAAAAAATTATTTCACCCCAAATTACATTTGCAAAATAAAGGCATTTTGTTACAGCCATAGAAATAGGCAAAAAAAATTTGGCAACAAAGGAAAACCTGAGGTAGTGATTTCTTCTAAATTCTAGGCATATCATAAGGATCTTTAAAGGAATGCTTATTGTTCATAATAAAAAGAGGGCATAAGCATAAAAATATATAACCAAGTGAATAACAAAATGGCAAGAAAAACCAGTTTCCCCTATAAAATCATAAAATAACTTTTTAAAAATGTAATTAGTTAACATTGCCAGCAGATGGCACTATACTCAAGACAGACTCTTACAACCTACCTGAAACACCATGTTTTCTCGGCTTTTATTTTTAATTGACACAATAATTGTACATATTTATGGGATACAGAGTGATATTTCAATACAGGTATACAATGTACAATGACCAAAACAGGATAATTAGCATATCTATCACCTCAAACATTGATCATTTCTTTGTGTTGAGAACATTAAAAATCTGTGTTTGTATATTTGAAAATATACAATAAATTGTTAGTCAGTCTGTAATACTATAGAACACTAGGACTTATTCCTCCTAACTAGCTGTACTTTTATATCCCTTAACCAACCTTTAACTATCTCCTTCCTCCTCTTTCCTGCCTCTAGTAACCACTATTCTACTCCCTACTTCTGAGATTAACTTCTTTAGCTTCCATGTATGGGTGAGAACATGAGGTATTTAACTTTGTGATGAACTGTCTTTCAGGAAAGACTGAACAAAACTGATTTAGGAAAACATTTGGGAAAATATTCATCAACCTTAGCTCCCTTAAATAACAGTTTTCACTTCATTTCCTTCTAGCATTAATCCCTATCTATACATGTATTTGTAACAATATATGTATCGTATTGTATGCAGTGTATTATAATGTCTTTCCACAGACATTTGATGAATGAATATTTATTTATTTAGAGACAGAGTCTCGCTCTGTCACCCAGGCTGAAGTGCAGTGGTATGATCTTGGCTTGCTGCAACCTCCACCTCCTGGGTTCAACTGATTCTCCTGCCTCAGTCTCCAGGGTAGCTGGGACTACAGATGCGTGCCACTAAGCCCAGCTAATTTTTGTATTTTTAGTAGAGACGGGGTTTCACCATGTTGGCCAGGCTGGTCTCAAACTCCTGACCTCAAGTGATCCACCCACCTCGGCCTCCCAAAGTGATGGGATTACAGGTGTGCTCCACCGTGCCCAGCCTGATGAACATTTAAGTAAATGCCTATATGCATATGTTTCTCTCCTCTTCCTATCTCTTTAAAAAAAAGCTTCATTTTTTATAAGAGGTCTAGATTTACAAAAACAATGTCAAGAGAGTAGTTCTCATATTCCCCATGCTGTTTCCCCTATTAACAACAGCTAACAGTATGATACATTACCTTTAAAGAACCAATATTGATACACTATTATTAACTAAGCCCATACTTTGTGCAGAGTTCATTAGTTTTTGTCCAATGTTCTTTTTGTTCCAGGATCCCATCCAGGATACTACCTTACATGTCGTTATCATGGCTCCCTAGGCTACTCTTGGCTGTGACACTTCTCAGACTTCCCTTGTTTTTGATGACCTTGACAGTTTTGAGAATAACTAGTCAGGTATTTTGTAGTATGACCCTCAACTGGGATTTCTTTGACGTTTTTCTCATTACTAGACTCAAGTTATGTATTTTAAAGGGCAACTATTGTTTTTAATCTAACCTTATTTTTTTTTTCGGATTTCTTTCAACACTCCTTTACAATCTTTATTTCCCCAAATGTTTATGTATTTTTATATAGTCTATAATCATAGTACTCACACCCTTAATATTCTTTCCTTTTACATTTCTTTATGCCATTACACATAGTTTTTGTAAGTATTCCTTTCAACCACAGTTAGTCACTCTGCATATACCAATATATACCACTGCATATACCAATATATCAAAATGTTCTGAAACATTTCCCAGTTGCTGAACATTTTTAGGTTATTCTTACATGTCCTAACTGAACTGAGATTGTGTATTTTAGGCTTTCCTCTTCTCTGTCTTCCCCTAACATTCTCTTCACCATTAGACTTTAAGCTATGACAGGGTGGGAATCCTATCTTAATCATTTGTGTATGTCCAGTGCTTAGGACAGAGCCTAGCACAAATAATACTGGTCTCCTTAAATGAAATGAAAGAATAAATGGATGGATTCTTCCTCACTACTGAAAAATATTTTCTTTAACTCATTTAATATTTCTTCATTTTAACTGGGGTAAACTCCTAGAGACGGATTCTTAAAGAGTATGAATATTTTTATGGTTCTTGACATGGTATCTAAATTGTTTTGCAAAAGAATTATAATCCAAACAGCAATACATGATTAACTATTTCTCCATAAACTCACTGGCACTGGGTGTTATTTTTAAATTCTCCACTATTTAAAGAGTAAGAAAGACTTGCTGGGCACGGTGGCTCATGCCTATAATCCCAGCACTTTGGGAGGCCAAGGCAGGCGGATCACCTGAGGTCGGGAGCTTGAGACCAGCCTGACCAACATGGAGAAAACCCCGTCTCTACTAAAAATACAAAATTAGCTGGGCGTGGTGGTGCATGTCTGTAATCCCAGCCACTCGACAGGCTGAGGCAGGAGAATCGCTTGAACCCGGGAGGCAGAGGTTGCAGTGAACAGAGATCATGCCACTGCACTCCAGCCTGGACAACAAGAGCGAAACTCTGCTCAAAAAAAAAAAAAAAAAAAAAAAAAATTGCGATTCCAACTTAAATATATTTTCCTATCCTAGTTCATCTTTTGGGAATTACCTGTTCATATCTTTTGGTCATTTTATTGTACTTGACTCCTGAAATCTGCTTAATATATTTGTATTACACTTTTATATATAGATTAATCTTTTTCATACTGATCTAAAGACTTCCATGTTTAGAACTGTTCATTTATGCTTTCAATATAATTCAGAGATTATACCCTTTATAGTCACATGTATTAATCTTTTCCTTGTGCTTTTTTGGTTTTCATTTTTATATTTCAATACTGCTACAATTATTAGTGCTATTCATGAAATATTTTCAGTTCTCTTCTCAGGTACAAAGTTGAACTGTACACCCTTGGCCCTTTGAAAGATAAGTGTGTCCAAGTGATTGACCATGTGATCTTAACCAATGGAATATGAATAAAAAGGATCTGTTGCTTTCAGAGAACAAGTTTAAGAGCCAACATGCAATTCCCCAGTCTCTCTTTCCATCTGCCAAGGAGACTGGCAATCTTCTAGAGAGTAGAGATAATCACTGGATAGAAAACCTACTATCCCACCCACAATGTATGTGTAGCATAACTACTAACATTTTTTTAAGGGACAGGGTCTCACTATGTTGCCCAGGCTAGAGTACAGTGGCTATGCACAGACGTGATCATCACCACTACAGCCTGGAACTCCTGGGCTCAAGCAATCCTCCTGTCTCAGCCTCCTGAGTAGTTGGTAGTACAGGTGCACACAACCACACTCAGCTAAGCCACTGAAATTTAGGGTTGTTACTGCAGCAAAACATAGCTTATCCGGACTAATATGATTCTGAGAGTTGTTTAGTTTGGTAAGTAGTGTGTAAATGGATCTATATAAATCATTTTCATTGTATTTTGGAGCTGGTTATAACTAGTATATGGTTTTACTACTAATGTTCACAGATTTATCTTATATCCAGCCACAATGTTAAAATATCATCTCTGATTTTAGATACCTTTGAATACTGTAAGAATACCATCAACTCTCCTGCGCGCGCACACACACACAAGAGACAGAGAGAGAGAGAGAGAGAGAGAGGGAGAGACAGAGTGTGTGTTTTCACTCTATGGCCGATGGCATTGGCAAAAACATCAAATGCAATATTGGAAAAGTAAAATGAGAATACTTCCTTATTTCCTATTATTTTTCCTCCATTTTTTAATAGTCAATGTATTTAGTGTTTCTTCATCATAAAGCTGTTCAATCATCCTTATTCAAATATATTCCAGGGAATGCATAACACTGTATATGGATAAAAATGCCCACTTGATTGGGCATAAAAATGCCAACAGGCTGTTACATTATAGAATATGGCCAATTTAATATTTCATTGGAGATTCTCGATTTCATCCTGTAAAGATTATGACCAGTATTATTTTTATGTATCTCCTAGTTGATGATAATATTATGAAAGTGACCTTCACTCTTCCCCTTGACCTCCCTTCTCTACCACAGGCCAACTGTTCTTATCAGCAGCCCACACTCAAGTCGTGGTGACATTTCCATTAGGGCCCAAAAAACTAGGGCAGACATAAAACGACTCTGGAAAATTTCAAGGAAGAAGTACCTTCAAGTATTTTAAGTTGTTTTATTTTGGTTTTTTAAATGTTTGCATCAAGTGCACATGTAAATTATCTAAATGTAATTACCAAAATGTAATTTGAATGGCAAAGATACGTAACTGAAAATCCTAAGAAGTATTGTAAACTATCTCTTAGGAGAAGTGCAAAAACCCCATCTTCGACTGAGAATAAGTAAAGACATTTAGGCATCTAGTTCAGCAGGCAACGGAGATCAATCAGGGAGTTTTGAGGAAGGAAGTAACAGAATTAGATATGCAATTTTAGAAGATCATCTAAAGATTTTTTTTTCCTTTCCACCATCCCCAAAATTTATACTTCCACCTTTCCTGTGCTATTTACTAGAAGGCATTTCTAACTATCAAAATGTCCAAGCTAGAAAAATTCAGCTGGGTGCAGTGGTGCATACCTATAATCCCCACAACTCATGAGGCTGATGGGGAAGGACCACATGCGGCCAGGAGTTTGAGACCAGCCTGAGGAACATAGTGAGACTGTCTCTAAAAATAAAAATTAAAAAGGCCAGGCACAGTGACTCATGCCTGTAATCCCAGCACTTTGGGAGGCCGAGGCGGGTGGACTGCTTGAGTTCAGGAGTTCAAGACCAGTGTGACCAACATGGTAAAACCCCATCTCTACTAAAATACAAAAATTAGCCAGGCATGGTGGCAGGTGCCTGCCATCCCAGCTACTCAGGGGGCTGAGGCAGGAGATTCACTTCAACCCAGATCGTGCCACTGCACTACAGCCTGGACGACAGAGCAAGACTCTGTCTCAAAAATAAATAAAAATAAAAATAAAAAAAATTAGCCAGGCTTAATGGCACACACCTGTAATCCCAGCAACTCAGGAGGTTGTGGTGGGAGGATCACTTGAGCCTACAGTAAACTGTGATCACACCACTGCACTCCTGGGCAACAGAGCAAGATCCCATCTCTTTAAAAAAAAAAAAAGAAAGAAAGAAAAGAAAGAAAAAGAAAACTAATTCCCCCTTGATTCTTTATCCCACAGCTTCAAATATTCACCAAGTCGCAATGCTTCTTTTCTCAAAATAAATCCGTCCCTTCCTCTGTATTAATATTATCACAAATGGTCTACCCATATTACTGTCCCTATCACTCCCTTACTTAAAATCCTTAAAATCATACATATAAGGGTAAAGAGAGGACATTTCGGCAATCATACAAAATCCTTCATGAAGTGGTCCCAGTTTGCTTTTTCCAGCTTTAGTATCCACCATTCCCTTCTACACATCCTACACATTTACGTACACCAGCCATTCCAAGAAGTCATGTACTTTTAAAAACCTCAGTATCTTTGTGCTCATGTTAGCTATTCTACTTAGAAGACACATCCCATCTCAGGCTCAGGCAAACCTTTAGAAATCACAATTCAATTCACAATTCAAGAGTCACCATAGCCTTCCCTGTCCCAGGCAATTAAATGACCTATTATGTGTGCCCATGCTATGCAAATAAATTATTACAGATGACTAAGGATGGTGAACAATAATTTTTTCAAGTTTACGATGGGTTTATCAGGACATAACCACCATCATAAGTAGAAAAGTATCTGGACTCACAATGGTTCAACTTATAATTTTTAACTTTATGATGGATTTAACAGACTATTAAATGCATTTCTGACTAATGAGTTTACTGGGATGTGGTCCCATCGTAAGGTGACGAGTATGAGGGGACTTCAAAAAGTTTGCAAAAAAAATGGAATCAAAAGATTAAAAATATAAACTTCACTTCTCAACATAAGCCCCATCAAGTTCAAGACACTTTTGTAAATGATGATATCATCTAGTCCAACCCTAAAAAACTGAAGGTCCTGGCAATTTAACCAAGTTAATGCAATATTTTTCATATTATTACCTGAAAAAAATGGGTGCCCTTTAAAGATGTTTTAAGATTAGGGAACAAAAAGAAGTTAGAAGGAGCCAATTCAGAACTGTAAGGTGGAAGTCTAATGATTTCCCATTGAAACTCACAAAACTGTCCTTGTTTGATGAGAGAAATTAGCAGGAGCATTGTCATAGTAGAGAAGGACTCTCTGTTAAAGCTTTCCCAGGCATTTTTCTCTGCTAAAGCTTTGGCTAGCCTTCTCATAATAAGCAGATGTTGTCATTCTTTGGCATTCCAGAAAGTCAACGAGCAAAATGCCTTAAGCATCCAAAATTCTGTTACCACAACCTTTACTCCTGAATTTTTGCTTTTGCTTTGAGTAGACCACTGGTAGCCATTGCTTTGACTGTGCTTTGTCTTCAGGATCGTACTAGTAAAGACATGTTCATCTCCTGTTACAATTCTTCAAATAAATGCTTCAGGATCTTGATTAAAAACTCTGCTCCTGTCTGCAGCCAATATGTATGCAAGGGTTTTGGCACCCATCTCGTGGAAAGTTGGCTCAACTTTAATTTTTCAGTCAGAATTGTATAAGCTGAACCAATTGAGATGTCTATGGTGTTCGTTACTGTTTCTGCTGTTAATCTTCCACCCTGTTCAATTAGGGCATGAATAAGATGAATTTTTTCCTCACAAATTGATGTCGATGGTCTTCTGCCACCAGCTTCACCTTCAACATCATCTTATCCTTTCTTAAAACAAGTTATCCATTTATATACTGCTGATTTCTTTGGGGCATTGTCTCCATAAACTTTTCACAAAGCATCAATGATTTCACCATCTTCTACCCGAGCTTCACCATAAATTTGATGTTTGTTCTTGTTTCAATTTTAGTAGAATTCATGTTGCTCTGATAGGGGCTCTTTTCAAACTGATGTCTTATCCTCCTTAATGCCTCAAACTAGATATGGTTTAGACATGTTACAACTAGTTAAAAGTTTATTTTGGTGCAAAAAAATTTTTGAAATCCCTGTATAGTTTTTTCATAATACCCATTTTCCATGAACTTTTTGAAATCTGTATATGTTGTGTGGTGGTATATGTGCTAGTTTAGTTTAGTACTGTTGCTCTAATAAATCGCCACAAATTTAGTGGTTTAAAACAACACAAATTCATTATCTTATAGTTCTAGAGGTCAGAAGTCGAAAATCATCACTGGACTAAAGTCAAAATGTCAGTAGGGCCACACACTCTGCTCCCTCCAGAGGCTCTAGGGGAGAATCTGTTCCTTGCCTCTTCTAGCCCTCTGGCATAATCAAGGCAAACATTTTCAAATCTCTCTCCACTGTTTTTACATTGCCTTCTCCTCTGTGTATATGTTCAAATCTCCCTCCACCTCCCTCTTATATGGATATATGTGATTACATTTAGGGCTCAGCTAACCAAAATAATCCCTCCATCTCAAGATACTTAATTATTTCTGTAAAAACTCTTTTTCCTGATAAGGTAACATTTATAGGTTCCAGAGATTAGGACCTGATATCTTTGGGAAACCATTATTGTGCCTATTAAAGGATGAAAATAAAAGTGGAGAAGTGAGAAGAGATAAAATCTGTATTCCATGGTGATACGGTTTGGCTCTGTGTCCCCATCCAAATCTCATCTTGAACTGTATTCCCCAGGTGTTGTGCGAAGCACCTGATGGGAGGTGATTGATCATGGGGGCGGTTTCCACCATGTTGTTCTCATGATAGTGAGTTCATAAATAGACAGTTATGAGATCTGATGGTTTCATAAGCGTTTGATAGTTCCTCCTTCACGTACCCCTCTCCTCTTTCCTGCCACCATGTAAGACGTGTCTGCTTCCCCTTCCACTGTGATTGCAAGTTTCCTGAGGCCTCCCCAGCCATGTGGCACTGTGAGTCAATTAAATCTCTTTCCTTTATAAATTACCCAGTCTCGGGTATTTCTTTATAGCAGTGTGAAAACAGACTAATACACATGACTGGAGTTTTGTAGTTTTCTCTTAGCTATCAAATACCCTCAATCATGGGAGAAACCTAACCTTGGGCTCTCTCTTGCAGGACATTTTGAGAGATCTGAAATTCACCCTGTGGGGACTAACTTTCTACTTGACCAAACTTTAGTCAGCCTCCTCTGAGCCCTCTTCTCAACTAGGCCTCAACGTCAACCCTTGCCATTTGGGGGCCTGCATATCCCAATTTTTGCAAGAATTCTGCTAAGTCAATCAGACCTAAGTCAGGCAGGCCAAGGTCATCAGATACTAAAGGTGGGGAATTCTGTTAAGTTGTTTTAGCAAGAATCCCCCGCCCCTGATGTCTTCTCTTGGTAATTTTCCATCTGCTGACTACCCCTCATTCTGCTTGCTGACTATAAATCCCCACCTGTCCTTGCTGTATTTGGAATTGAGCCCAGTTCTACACTGAGGTATTTTTTCCACTATTGCAAAGTTCCTGAATAAAATCTGTTGTTTATCACTTCAGTCACTGTCCACTTCTGGCTTTCTCTGACAAGACTTCCCTCTGTAATATTCTCTGGTACAAACGAGACATTCTCCAGCACAATTCTTAAAACTCTTGCTCAGCTCCTACTCCAGTGGAACATATCTGAGGTTGTGTCTGCTGAGCAGGCAACTTTCTTTAAGTTTCTTTCAAGATGTCACTAGACTGAACAGCATCTAAAGTGTTTGCCTGGCCCAAAGGAAATGCTCTTGACTCAATATCACTGGACACATAGTGAAAGCCCTCTCTTCCAGCTTTTCCACTGCAAAGCTATTTTATATATCTGTTACATTTATTCTTCTCCAGGAATGCAGCAGCAGGCCTCAGTCTCTGGGCCTTCCATAACTCCAGGAGACCCAAATCATACTTTTCCCAAGAATTCTCTAACACTTTACTCAGGTAACATTCCAGGGAGGGAGGCCTAACTATTTTCTGCAACCCAGCAGGCATCCAGCTAAAGGACCATCTTCCTTCCTGAAAAGTCCCCCAATCTCTCAGAGAAATTGTTTTTCACCCACAGAGAAGATAATGTAAAGACTATAGCACTCCATTTTGAGCTGATAACTCTTCAAAGAATCCTTCCTCAAATTAAATTCTTTTTTTATCTTGTATAGGCTGGAGGTGCTAAAGTTCCAGAACAAATCATGGCCACTTGCCAAAAAATTCAACACCATCTCTTTATAATGCAGCTTTATCAGCTTTATCAGCTACTATCCTTAGCTTTAGGCTCCAGGAAAAACGCTAAGGTGACAAGAAAAAACCCACTTAACACTCAGTTATATACAAATACATCATACAGTACTTACCCTATCACACCTAGAATTTTTCAGTTAACATTATGTTTTTGAGATTTATCTGTGCTGATACATGTAGCTCTACTTTATTCAATGTAATTGCTAAATGGTATTACATTACATGAATAAGCCAGATATATTCTCCTACTGTCTTAGTCCATTTTGTGTTGCTATAACAGAACACTAGTGACTGGGTAATTTATAAAGAAAATAAAGTATTTCTTACAGTTCTGAAGGCTGAGTAGTCCAAGGTGAAGGGGCCCACATCTGGCAAGGCCATTCTTGCTGCATCATCCCATGGTAGAAGGTGCAAGGGCAAGACAGCATGAGACAGCAAACGAGAGGACTAAACTTACTTTTAGAACCACCCACTCTCGAGTAACAAACTCACTCTCTTGATAAGGACATTAATCCATTCATGAAGGCAGAGCCCTCTTAGCCTAATCACCTCTCAGCAGTCCCACCTCTTAATACCATCACAATGACAATTAACTTTCAACATAAGTTTTAGAGGAGACATTCAAAACAAAGCACCTATTAAAATACAAGTCGCTTAACACTTTTTGCTACTACAAACCATACTGCAATGAACAATCTTATATGGGTCTCATCTGTAAAAGTTTCTCTAGGGTAAGTACGTATTAGTTTTAATAGAACTTATAAGTATCTTCAACTATCTTTCAAGGTAGTAGTAACAATTTATGCTCTCACTAGCAATGTGTGAGTTCTCTTTCACTATACTTGGATTTATCAGATTTTTTTTTTTTTTTTTTTTTGAGACGGAGTCTCGCTTTGTCGCCCAGGCTGGAGTGCAGTGGCGCAATCTCGGCTCACTGCAAGCTCCGCCTCCCGGGTTCACACCATTCTCCAGCCTCAGCCTCCCGAGTAGCTGGGACTACGGGCGCCTGCTACCACGCCCGGGTAATTTTTTTTTTTTTGTATTTTTAGTAGAGACGGTGTTTCACTGTGTTAGCCAGGATGAGGATGGTCTCGATCTCCTGACCTCGTGATCCACCCACCTCGGCCTCCCAAAGTGCTGGGATTACAGGCAGAAGCCACAGCGCCCGGCCTATCGGACTTCTTAATTTGGGGAGATCCAATGGCTACCTAATTTTATCTTGTTTGATTTGTATTTCCCTGAAGAAAAGTGAAGAAGTTTATCAAAGAGAGATCAACTACATCAATGCTATTGAAAAGTCAGGAAGAATGAAGACTGCAAGTAATCATTGGATTTAACAATATAGAGGTCACATTACTTGGAAAGTGGGGCACATGTTAGGCTGCAGTTGACTTAAGAAAAGATGGGAGAAAAGGAACTGGGAACAGCAAGTACAGACAACTTTTTAAGAATTTTATTACAAAGAAGTTGGGCGGTAGCCAGAAGTGACATGGAATCAAAGAAAAATAAAGTTTTTTATTTTGCTTTTGTTTTGTAAGATGAGAGAAATGATCACTAACAGAAATGATCTGGTAGAGCCAAAAACTAATGATGTTAAGTGTAGAGAACTGCTGGAGAGGTGTCCTTAAGTGGGCATGAGGAGACAGAAATTATTGTAACCAAACATGTACAGTATCTTTTATGCTGGAAACTACAAAACACCAATAAAAGAAGTCAAAGAATATCTAAATAAATAAGCAGGCATGCCATAATGACAGACTGGAAATTTTAATATGGTAAAAACTGTCAATTCTCCAATTGATATATAAATTTAATATCAGAATCCCAGCAAGTAGACAATAGACAAGTTTAACCTAAAATTTACATAGGAAGTAAAAGAAAACAAACCGCTAAAACAATTTTGAAAGAGATGAATAAAGTGAGAAGAAGCAAACTACTAAACTCCAAGACCTACTATATAGCTATAGTAATCAAGACTGTGTAGTATTGGCTGAGGAATACATAAATCAATGAAACAGAAGACCCAGATATAAAAACAACAAATATGCTCAACTGATTTTTTACAACAATGTAAAAGCAATTCAATGGAAGAGATGTACCACAGCAGTTGGATATCTATAGGCAAAAAAAAAAGAAAAAAGAAGCTCAACCTTAACTTTCACACTTTATACAAAAATTAACTCAAAATTAATCATGAACTTGAATGTTAAAGGTAAAATTATAAACTTAAAAACACAGAAGACAATCTTTGGGATCTCAGGCTAGGCAAAGAAAACTCAGACTTGACATGAAAAGCACAATTCATAAAAGGAAAAATTGGTCGAATAGACTTCATCAAAATTAAAACTTTTGCTCTGGGAAAGACTGTTATGAGGCTGATGTGGTTTGGCTGTGTCCCCACCCAAATCTCATCTCGAATTGTAGTTCCCATAATTCCCACGTGTCATGGGAGGGAATTGGTAGGAGGTAATTGAATCATGGGGATGGGTCTTTCCCATGCTATTCTAGTGAGATAGTAATCTCACAAGATCTGATGGTTTTATAAATGGGAGTTCCCCTGCACACACTTTCTTGCCTATCACCATGTAAGACGTGACTTTGCTCCTCCTTGCCTTCTGCCATGATTGTGAGGCCTCCCCAGCCATGTGTAACTGAGTCAATTCAACCTCCTTCCTTTATAAAGTACCCCGTCTTGGGTATGTTTTTATTAGCAGCGTGAGAACAGACTAATACAAAGGTGGAAAAGACAAGCTACAGACTGGGAGAAAATAACTGCAAATCACAACAAAGTGACTAGTGCCTAAGATATATAAACAGCTCTCAAAACTTGACAGTAAAATAAATAATCAACTAGGAAATAGGCAAAAGACACAATTAGCAGCTGAAATGTATACCCCCGAAACTCATATGTTGAAGCTCTAACCCCTGTACCTCAGAACAGACTGTATTTGGAGCTAGGGTCTTTAAAGAGGTGATCAAATTAACATGAGGCCATTGGGTGGGCCCTAATCTAATGTGATTACTGTCCTTTTAAAAAGGAGAAAATTTGGATACATAAAGAGATCATGTGAGAATATGAGAATGCAGCCATCTGCAAGCTAAGCAGAGAGACCTCAGAAGAAACTTGATCTTGGACTTCTAGCCTCCAAAACTGGAGAAAAAAAATTTCCATTGTTTAAGTCACCCAGTTTGTAGCATTCTGTTATGGGAGCCCTGACAAAGTCATACAGACGTGAAGAGACACTTCACCAAACAAGACATACAAATGGCAAATATGCACATGAAAAGATATTTAACATCATCTGCCATTAGGGAAGTGCAAATTAACATGACAATGACTTATCACTTACCTATAAGACTGGGCTAAAATTAAAAAGTGTCAAAAATTTCTTTATTATGGTTGCTGACTCAGCATCCATTTTTAGATCTAACGTAAGTTATCTGAAACCCAGCTATAGCCCTCCATCTTGGCCTAGTTAAAACTTCCCGGCAGGGCACAGTGGCTCATGCCTGTAATCCCAGCACTCTGGGAGGCCGAGGCAGGCAGATCACCTGAGGTCATGAGTTTGAGACCAGCCTGGCCAACATATAGTGAAACCCCGTCTCTACTAAAAACTAAAAAAATTCGCTGGGTGTGGTGGTGCATGCCTGTAGTCCCAGCTACTTGGGAAGCTAAGGCAGGAGAGTAGAAGAATCGCTTGAACCCATCCAGGAGGCAGAGGTTGCAGTGAGCTGAAATCGTGCCCTTCTACTCGACCCTGGGTGGGAGCGAGACTCCATCTCAAAAAAACAAACAAAAAAAAACTTCCCTTGCCTGTGTGACTGTCTGCAATATAGACTTCTTCATCTCACTGACCAAAAACTCAATATTCCCCACAGCTGCTGACCACGATAAAAACCTAATGGTCAACACCAGAGTCATGTAAATAAGATCTCCCTTCAGGAGTGTTTGCTTTAAACTAGCCAATCCACAACCACCACAGGAAAGCCTACAGGGTAATGCCCATGTACCTTAAAAAAGGCATAGTCCCACTGATATCCCCTTTTCCCTCTCACTCTTTTTCTCTCTCCCCTCCCTCAGCTCCCCGCATCCTTCCTTAACCTTAACCTCTCTGGGCTCTACCAGTAAATCTCGTTTCATTCTGGTTTCACTTCCTCATGTGTCTCACCTGACACACACGCACAAACCTAACTCAGTTCCCCAATCCCTGCTAGGGCTCTCCTAGAGTGACGCTACTTGCCTTATGGCCCTCTCAAGATAGAGATCCCAAGACCAATTAGAAAGTAAATATAACAATAAAAATCACAACAAAGTGACAATACCAAATGCTGGTGAGGATGCAGCTCTCCCTCATCCTCACTCATATACTGCTGATTGGAATGTAAAATGTACAGTTACTCAGGAAAACAGCTTGTCAGTTTCTTACAAACATTAACATGCAACTACCATATGACCCAGTGATTGCACTCCCAGAAGAATCAAAATTTATGTTTACATGAATACTTGTACACAAATGTTTAAAGCAGTTTAATTTCTAATAACCAAAACCTGGAAACAACCCAGATAATCTTCAATGGGTGAATGGTTAACACATCACGGTACATCCATACTGTGGGATACTATTCAGTAACAAAAAGGAACAAGGTACTGATACACACAACAACCTGATGACTCTCCAGAGAATTATGCTGAATGAGAAAAGCCAATCCCATAAGGTTACATACTACATGATCCCACTTATGTAACATTCTTAAAATTACAAAATAATAGAAATGGAGAACAGGTTAGTGATTGCCAGGGGTTAAGGACAGGTTGGGAGCTGGAAGGAAGACCACATGGGTATAAAAGGGCAATATGAAGAATCCTTATGGGGAAGGAAGTGTGCTGTATCTTGACTGTACCAATGTTAATTTCCTGGTTGTGCTATTATATACTATCCTATCCTATCCTACAGTGTCCTATAATTTTGCAAGGTGTTACCACTGGGAGAATCAAGGTAAAGGATACATGAGATCTCTCCGTGTTATTTCTTACAACTGCATGTGAATCTACAACTATTTTAAAAAGTTCAAGAAAAGTTATCAACTTGAGCATTTAAAATGTGCACAATTTATCATAAAATATGCCTCAATAAAAAGTTACACAGTAAAAAAAATTTTCATACAAGTTTTTTTAAAAAACTGTCCAGAACAAAGCTGTCCAATTGAACTTTCTGTATATAGATTATTGACCTGTTCTATAATTCTGTGCTACCTAAAACAACAGCCACTAGCCACACATAGCTAATAAACACTTGAAATGTAACTTGTATAACTGAAAAACTGAATTTTAAATTTTATTCATTTTAATTAAATTTAAACTGCCACACATCAGTGGTGGTCACCATTGAACAATGCAGGTCCAGACACTACAAAGAATAGGGAAGATCGTTATGTGCTAAAATACAGCTATGTCCAAATTGTATTCAGAAAAATACAGATTTTATAACATAACATTTATGTAATAAAAACAAGGAAATAAATATACATGAACATGTATGTAAAATATATATTTAAATGTACAAGCATAGAAAATTCTGAGTGTACTTTAAAGTAGTATTTACCTGTGAGGAGTGAGAGAAGTTTGTGCTTGCTGGGGACAGGGAACTGTGGGACTTCACCATGAACTATATATCCTTCTGTACTACTTAAATTTTTTACAATAATCATGTGTCACCATTAAGGCTAAAAAAAACCCATGCTGAAACTTAAATTTCTGATACCTTTAAAATTTATACATTATTCAACAGTATAGAATAAATCGGATGTTAGGATAATAATGTTCAGAAAGTTTAAGTTTATATATGGTCTGCTATGCTAGAAGACTAGATTCTAGTTTGTCAAGAATTTTTTTTTTCCACCTGTACCCTTTTTTGGGACTTGATTACATCAATTATTCAATGGAAAAAGGACACAAATAAGGAAAAAAAGTTTAATGGGAATTTCTGAAATCAAGCTAATTAACCTCTCACAAACAGGTGGAAGATTCTGGCTATTTACATTATGAGTGGTCAAAGAGAAAGCAAAATTTCCAAAGAAAACACTGTCTAGAATTTATTCATGATTATATTTACAGAAATATAAATAAAGATTAATGAATATTTATAATTTCAGTGAAAGAACATAGGGAGGTAAAATTCTAGGGTTAAAAACAAGATTAACAATAGTGTACATGCTCTCTTAAAATCTTGGAACTGCAGAAAGAAAGTAAGTAAAGATTATAAAACAACAGCTAACTATTTGCCAGGTATTGTTCTAAATTTTACTTAGAGACAGAATTTCATAAAATCAAAAGATGCTATTGATTATAATATGCACCATTATTGTATGTACCACTAAGAAAGAAAATACTGCCAACTGAACTGAATGCTTTTTTATCACTTCAAATTTTTACTTCTACTAATTGAAGGATTATTTACACTAATTGAAAAATCTTTTACAGACTTACTTAGATTTTTAAAATATCACTCTTTAGGCTATATCAAATGGAGATAAACAAATCAGTTACTGTATTGCTAAAACTTGTTCATGCTCAAGGTTAGCCTCTTTGGAATCACTGTTCAACTTAGAGTTTCAATACCATGTTCTTCATCACAATATTGTTTATGAGCCACCAAGAACACTGAAATATAGCATTTCTTAAAAGAATGTCACTATTATCTCTAGGATTTCCTTCTCCAAGCCACTGACACACATTCCACAAGTTTTGATGATTTTCTTGATCTTACTGGAAGTTATCAACAGTTTTCAGAAAACAATCAGTAATCAAACTCCTTTCTAAAATGCTCTTTAAATGGATTGCTAATGAAATGGGGGCAGCAGGTGTACAATTGTGCTATCAGGAATAACCACAAAGAGGCCGGGCATGGTGGTCCCAGCACTTTGAGAGGCCAAGGCAGGTGAATCGCTTAAACCCAGGAGTTCAAGACCAGCCTGGCCAACATGGCGAAACCCACCTCTACTAAAAATATAAAAAAAATTAATCAGGCATGGTGGTGTGCACTTGCAGTCCCAGCTACAGTAAGATCCTGTCTCAAAAAAGAAACAGAAAAGGAATAATCACAAAGATGCCACATGCACAGGCACTGACAGTCACTATTGCAATTTCGCTAATGCAACAGACACCATTAACTATAAGTCACAAATCCCAATTTCAGAGATATTAAAATACATACAGGTTAAAATCTACAAAAGGTATATTAACTCATTTAATCTCATAAGGACCCTAAGAAGTAGGTGTTATTAACCCCACTTTCCAGATAATAAAACTGAGGTACCCAGAAGATTAAGTAATTTGCCCAAGATCATATGGTTACTAACTGCTGGATGAAGCATTTGAGGTACACTACCCTGAAATGTATTCCAAAAAAGCTCTACTAAGTAGAAGAATGTGGTCCAGTAACAAATCTTTAGAAGAGATTTACAGATAATACAAATGATAGTAGGACTCTTCAAAAATGTTTAAACTTGAGACACCTATAATTCAATCAGCACTGTCTGTCCTCTCATCAGCTCTGCCACAGATTTAATACTGAGACTACTCATCTCCATCCTTATCTACACCTAGGGTTATTTCAACAAGAGACACCCGCTTTCAAAGGATGTTGGGGGTGGGGGGGCGTGTGTGTGTGTGTGTGTATGTATATATATGTGTGTGTGTGTATATATATATATTTACACACATACACATACACATACACATACACACACATTCTTTATTTTGAGACAGGGTCTCACTCTGTCATCCAGGCCGAAGTGCAGTGGCATGATCTCGGCTCACTGCAGCCTCAACCTCCTGGGTTCAAGCAATCCTCCTGCCTCAGCCTCCTAAGTAGCTGGGACTACAGGCATGCATCACCACACCCAGCTAATTCTTTTATTTTTTTGTAGAGACAGGGATCCCACTGCTTCCCAGGCTGGTCTGGAATTGCTAGGCTCAAGCGATCCTCCCACCTCAGCCTCCCAAAGTGCTGGGATTTACAGGCACAAGCCACCGCACTCAGCCAGAAGTATATTTTACCTTATTAATGTATACTAAGCAAAAGAATAGACTGAATAAAAGAAAATTTCAAAGAGAAGGACTTTTATGGAAATGTAGTTTTATTATTTCAAGTAAAAAGGTTACTAAAAGAAGTGGCCTTAGAGCAACTGCTAAAAATGAATCCTCCCCTAGTTCCTTTAGTAACAAGGAAGAACTGATAGTTAACTCTAATAAAGTTTTTCTACTATATTGTAAAAAATAAGTAAAAAATAAATTGTATTTTGACCTATTCATGTATACAGCAAAGTACATATAAGGATTATGGGCTTGGGAGTCAGAGTTTAGGTTCTAATATAAACTATGCCAACTTTCTAATGATGTGAACCTGAGTAAACTACTTCACCTCTCTTGAATCTGTTTCCTAATCTGTAAACAGCTCAACATATACACTTTGCAGAACTACTGTGAAAAGTAAATGAACAAAACTTGGAAGCAATAAGACGTCCTTCAGTGGGTGAATGGATTTGATACACCCAGAAAATAAAATATTATTCAGCACTAAAAAGAAACGAGCTATGAAGCCATGAAAAGACATGGAGGAACTTTAAATGAATATTACTAAGTCAAAGAAGCCAATCCAAAAGGCAACATACTGCATGATTCCAACTATAAGATACTCTGGAAAAAACAAAACTAAAGAGACAGTAAAAAAAATCAGGGATTGGTGGGAAGGACATATGAACAGGCAGAACAAAGATTTTTAAGGCCATGGAACTATTCTACATGACAACATAATGGCGGACACACATTACTCTTACAAGTGTTAAGAACCTCGCCGGGTGCAGTGGCTGACACCTGTAAGCCCAGTACTTTGAGACGTCGAGGCAGACAGATCACCTGAGGTCAGGAGTTCAAGACCAGCCTGGCCAACATGGTGAAATCCCGTCTCTACTAAAAATACAAAAAATGAGCAGGGCGTGGTGGCACGTGCTTGTAGAGGTACTCGGGAGGGAGGCTGAGGCAGGAGAATTGCTTGAACCCAGGAGGCGAAGTTGCAGTGAGCCAAGAATCACGCCATTGCACTCCAGCCTGGGCAACAAGAGCAAAACTCCATCCCTCTCCCAAAGAAACAAAAACAAGCGTTAAGGCCGGGCGCGGTGGCTCACGCCTGTAATCCCAGCACTTTGGGAGGCCGAGGCGGGTGGATCACGAGGTCAGGAGATTGAGACCATCCTGGGTAACATAGTGAAACCCTGTCTCTACTAAAAAAAAAAAAAAAAATACAAAAGTTAGCTGGGCATGGTGGCACGTGCTTGTAATCCCAGCTACTCAGGAGGCTGAGGCAGAAGAACTGCTTGAACCTGGGAGGCAGAGGTTGTAGTGAGCTGAGATTGTATCACTGCACTCCAGCCTGGCGACAAAGCTAGACTCCGTCTCAAAAAAAAAAAAAAAAAACAAGTGTTAAGAACCATAGAATACACAACACGAAGAGTGAGCCCTAATGTAAACTATGGCCTTTGGGTGATAATGATGCATCAATGTAGGTTCATCTACCATAACAAGTGTACCACGCTAGTGTAGAATGTCCATACTGAGGGAGGTTATGCATGTGTACAGGCAGGGAGCATATGGGAACTCTTCGTACTTTCTGCTCAATTTTGCTACCAATATAAAACTGCTCTTAAAAAATTAAGTCTGTTCAAAAAATTCAAAAACAAAACACAAATGAGACCATTTGTAACCACAGCTAGCTAGTGCCTAGCAAATCCAACTCTATCATCTCTATCATACTGTATTGTGCTATAAAAACAGGCAACCTGGATTACTACTTAACCTCTCTATACCTCTGTTTCCTCATTTGTAAAATAGGTATAAAAAGCTGTGAGGATTAAATGAATGAATATACATGCAAAATTGTTTAGGATAGTGCCTAGCTCATACTTATAATTTGCTGGCATCTATGTCCCGGCTACATGGAAGAAAGAAGCTGGTCTGCATTTGGAGAAAATGAAGCTGAAAGGGAGAGAGGAGGAGAGATAAGAGAGTTTTGGTGGCATTCTCAGCTCAGGTTCCAGTTGTGTTTGATTTCAACTGCATCCTTGCATCCTGAGTTTAGGTTATCTGAGACAGTAAATTCCCCTTTTTGCCCAACTATGTTTCAGACAAGATTGTTGACATCTGCAACAAGAGGATCCTTACACAACAAGAAACTTCTGTCTTCAACTCAAAGAACTTTTTTTTTTTTCATGAGAATAGGGATAGTTTTGGTAACCACCAGTTTTGTTCATACCTCATTAAATCCTTCAAAAATTAATGAGTATTCATAATTGAAAAATTATTCTTAAAAACTAAACAAGGGTAGGGTATACTAACATCTCAATCAGAAGTAATTTTTCACTTCATTTTTTTCTAGAATACAACAACTGATAAAAATGCAAGCCATCTGACATATATACACAAAAAATGTCTCAGGTACTGTTAATGTTATAATCTTCATATCCCTAACAGTATCACCGATAATCAGAAAGATGATCCTAGGACACTATAATGTTCTAATTTATCAAAGAAAGATTCTATTATGTTTAGTATGTATTAACCCTAGAAAATAATTTGGCAAATTTGCAACAGGAATTGAAACAAAAACAAAAAAGTATTGTTTAATTCTCTGTAACTCAGGATACTAAGTTCACAGTATCTCATTCACAGAAGGCTGAAGTTTCACTGTACTTTCAAATTAGCTGCCTGTGGCTCCACTTTAAGAAAATTTTAAAAGAAGATATTTTATCCTAGGTCTAAATAATTATTCCACTGGGTCAAATTTTATGTATTTTATAAATATAATATTGTCTTGAATCATTATTTTTCAAATTCCAAAATTAAAATATTTGATTTTACTCTTAAATTATCCATCTGTAATAAAATCTATTCATAAAATAATACTATAATCAGATAATGCGCTGAAAGAGAATTTTACATAACCTTAATAGTGAAACATCTTTTCGGATTATGTAATTGTTGTGGGTTCTGTTAAAAGCAAACTGCATTTTTTTTTTTTTTTTTTTTTGAGATGGAGTTTTGCTCATTGCCCAGGCAGGATGGCACGATCTTAGCTCACAACCTCTGCCTCCCAGGTTCAAGCGATTCTCCTGCCTCAGCCTCCCGAGTAGCTGGGATTACAGGCATGCACCCCCATGCCCGGCTAATTTTTTATTTTTAGTAGAGACGGGGTTTCTCCATGTTGGTCAGGCTGGTCTCGAACTCCCGACCTCAGGAGATCTGCCAGCCTCAGCCTCCCAAAGTGCCGCAATTACAGGCGTAAGCCACCAAGCCCGGCCAGCACACTGCATTTTAAGACACCTTAACTGTTCAATGCTGACTACCTTAACATACCCTTACAACCCTCTCTAGGAGGAAAGGAGGACCACGAATCATTTCTAATTTTAAAAAATACACACAGACACACTCTCCCTCATCTATCCTGAGGTATCTGAAGGTCTACAGTTAATCTTACATCATTTTACAATGTGTTATTTTGTAAATGTTATTACTTCGGAGCCTAGCAAAGGGTCAAGACCATACTTGGATTCTCAATAAACACTCCCTTGTAGCAAAGCACACGTCTTTAAAAACATCAAATAGGGCAAAAGGGCTTATAATAAGAAGTCCTCTGCCCATCTTCTCTTCAATCCCCAGAGACAACCAATACTAATTATTTTAGCCACTCTAATATATGCATACTACAATTGTTTATCAATTTGAGGTACTACTTTTTACCACAATATTAATAGCCAACACTTATTGTTGTTTACTAAGTGCCAGACACAGAACTTCACATGTATTATCTCACTTAATCCTCACAACAGCCTCATAAAGTAGGTGTTATTATACCCCCATTTTAGTTTGGAAAATTGGGATGCAGAGTTCAATAACGTGCCCAGGATTGCAAGCTAGTGAGCAGAATTGAGATTTGAATCCTAACACCATTGCTCACTTTTAACCTATATACTCTTATATCCACCAACTCCACAGTCCACTCTTAATAAATACTTTTGAGATCCTCCCAAATTAAATAAAAATAATGAACAAAATAAAACAAGCCGAATCAGGAAAATGACATTTCTCAAAACCAGAACAATTTTTTGGTCAGTAATTTTCAACTCTGGCTTTGAGCACAATCCATGAAGTCTCACCAATTAATCACATTTTAATTTTATATCTATTGACTCAGTGATTACTAAGCTTAATAGTAATGCTCAGTGGTTACTGGGCTTAACAGTGGTCACTATACTAAGCATAGTAGTTACTAAGCTTAATATATAGTATTTTAAAATATACATTATTTTAAAATCTAGATTATTATTATATGACCTATAACATTTTTGCTGAATTTTTTAAAAGGCATCAAATCCTAGTGACTGCATAAAGAAGTGCTTTGAAGGAAAAGAGTTGCAGGTAACCTATGGGAAGAAAAACAACTTTCAAAGTCATTTTGTATCTGCTTTCTGAAAGCAAATGAATTACCTTATATGTGTACAAATACATATATATACACACACACATATAATATATACATAATAGGGCAAAAAGTAATAGAAAATGGCAAAATTCTTTTCACTAAAGAACAGCTTCATGGCCGAGCATGGTGGCTCATGCCTGTAACCCCAGCAGTTTGGGAGGCCGAGGCGGGTGGATCACCTGAGGTCAGGCGTTCCAGACCAGCCTGGCCAACATGGTGAAACCCCATCTCTACTAGAAATACAAAAAATTAGCCACGTGTGGTGGCAGGCACCTGTAATCCCAGCTACTCGGGAGGCTGATGCAGGAGAATCGCTTGAACGCAGGAGGCTGAGGTTGCAGTAAGCCGAGATCACGTCATTGCACTTCAGCCTGGGCAACAAGAGCGCAACTCCATCTCAAACTAAAGCAAAAAACCAAAAGCTTCAAAAAGTAGATTTTATGAAATCTGTGAGGACAGTAGATAATAGCAATAGTTTGATTTAATATTCAAACAGAAATCATCAGAAATAATAAAATGAATGTGAAATAAAAAACGTTACCATAAAAAGAGAGACGAAAATGAGAAAAAAAGGCAATAGCAGAAGTTTTGAAATAGAGAAAAAAGGAAGAAAGAAAGAGATGAAAGCCCTAGATAATCTAGGCAATCCAGTTCAAAGCTCTGAGTCAGATGGTTCTGAAATAGCCCCTGTGATACTGTGGCAGAAGGGGATATTGTGATCTCATTCTATCAAAGAGCTGAGATGACTTACTGAGGATGTACTAGTAGGTAAAATGGAAGCTGGTCATGGCTAGTCTGCTGGACCAGTAGACCAACATATGGTCTCTGTCCCTCTACGGAAGCCTTTCTTCTAACCACTCTAAATGACAGGAATCTGACACCACTTACAAGCTACATTACTTAATTCAGTACTTATTTGAATCGTCCAGTGTTTCACGTGCCTACAACTTCCCAACTAGTTATTTACCTTCTGGAAAACATATGCTATCTTTTTTATGTTATTTTAACCCATATAACCTAACACAATGCTACGTACCTAGTAGACAGATGCTCAAGTTGATTATATTGAAAAATCACAATTTAAAACCAGAACACTTGAGTCTGAAGAAATCTTAGAGGTCATCTAGTCTAGCTACTTTATCTTAAAAGCAACAAAACTGAGACCAGTTAAATACCTACTAGCTCAAGGTCACTGAGCTAGAACTAGTACCCTAATCCCTTGATCATCAGTTCTTCTTTATCCAAAGAGCCTTTAATTTCTTTCATTTCAATAAAACAAATAATCACCTATTTCAAAAGAAAACAAAGTAACAGCAGCTTCCCTTTCAGTATTCACTATATGCCAGGGCCTTCAGAAGGTACAATTTGCTTGGCAGCCTATGTGCCTAGGTCTATGAAAACTGCTTTATAAACATTAGCCTAGTTAATATTCACAATAACTGTAAAAGGTGTCACTATTAACCCAACTTTACAAATGAGAAAAATGTACTTTGACCATGATAACAGTAAGCTGCAGAAGCTACATTTTCAGTTTGTCACCACAGCTTTGGATTTTTTTTTTTTTTAAGAGAGTTTTGCTCTTGTTGCCCAGGCTGGAGTGCAATCTCGGCTCACTGCAACCTCCACCTCCCGGGTTCAAGCAATTCTCCTGCCTCAGCCTCCTGAGGAGCTGGGATTATAGGCATGTGCCACCACGCATGGCTAATTTTGTATTTTTAATAGAGACAAGGTTTCTCCATGTTGGTCAGGTTGGTCTTGAACTCCGAACCTCAGGTGATCCGCCCGCCTCGGCCTCCCTAAACCCTGGGATTACAGGCGTGAGCCACCACGCCCAGCCAACTTTGGCTCTTAACCAGTATTCTACACTGCCTCTCACTGAACACCAAAAATATCCTGAAGTCTCACACAGACTCCAGCACAATTCCTTACCCAAACATGACAAACAAATGTTTAAATGACCAACTAAATGAGTGGATGATTTAATTCATTAAAAAGTAAGATTATCTTACCTAAAATACCTCTAAAAAGGCGTTTATCTAATTGTATAATCCTCTAAGAAAGGTTTTAACAGTGGGCAGTTTGCATACTAATAAGAGATTTAAGCAATGCTCATTTCTTTACCCACAAATAATTCATCTGCTTAACAAATACTAAAGTGAAAAACTGTTTTTGTGTGAGAGTATTAAATTGGAAGATAAAAAGTGAAATGAAATTTGTTCCTGCAAGATCCTATTCCACTAAATTAAAACCCACATAAGTTTTAAATCAGTCACCAAAACCAAAATAAATGTGTAACACTTCCCTTTCTTCTGGTAGAGAAAAAAGAAGTAACATTAACTGAGCACCTACAATGTGCCAGTTCTTGACCCTCAACATATAGCCTCACTTAATCCCTTACAGCCAAGTAAACTAGGCAGCATCTCCATTTTCTTTTCTTTTCTTTTTTTTTTTTTTTTGAGACATAATCTTGCTCTGTCACCCAGGATGGAGTACAGCTGCTCGATCATGGCTCACTGCAGCCTCAACCTTCCAGGCTCAAGCAATCCTCCCACCTCAGCATCCGATTAGCTGGGACTACAGGCGTGTACCACCATGCTCAGCTAATTTTTGTATTTTCTGTAGACACAGAGTTTTGCCATGTTGCCCAGGATGGTCTCGAACTCCTGGGCTCAAGTGATTCTCTCACCTCGGCTTCCCAAAGTGCTGGGACTACAGGTGTGAGCCTCCGAGCCCAGCCAGGATCTCCATTTTCTGATTACAACTGAAGCTTAAAGAAATTAAGCACTTGTCTCAGGTCACTTAGCTAGTTACCGAATTTCCAGAATTAGAATCCAAGTCTGTCTGACCCAAAGTCTATGTTCTCTCCAAAAAGAGGTTAAAAGTACTATTATTTCATTACTTACCAAGACAGAGAATGGGTTTCTTCCCAAAGGAGACTGAAAACACTGCTTATTTTAACAACAAAAACATATTATCTCAGTTAATCCTCGCTATAGCTTATTAACTATTATTTTTATCCATTATAAATGATGAAACTAGAACTCAGAGACGTATTCATAGCTTGCCCAAGAACACACTGCTAGGAGGCAGCAGAACTACCCCAGGTCTGCACCAGCTGCACACACTAACCACAGAAAATGCAGAAAGACCTCAGCCATGTAGTACAAGCTTAAGGTCCATCCAAAGTATTAAAATAATCAGACCTTGTGCTTCTTGGGTAAAAAGGAACGGTATATATTATGTATGCCAATTCCCACTATCAATGATGAGGAGGTTGACTTTCTAGTAATATCCTATCTATCGAATGGCAACCTGAAGATCGGTAGCTAAATTTCAAGCCTATACTGGCCATTCTACTACACCAAATAATCTGGATTTGTTGCCAGTTAAAATTATTCTTAAAGTAGCAAACAACAGTACTATATTACAAAGCAAAGGTTTATGAAGAACAGTATGCTAAAATACGTAAGATAGGCCTGGCATGGTGGCTCATGCCTGTAATCCCAGCACTTTAAGTAGCTAAGGTGAGAGGACCACTTGAGTTCAAGAGTTCAAGACCAGCCTAGACAACATAGGGAGACCTCTTCTTCTACAAATAATAAAAAAATCAGCCGGGTATGGTGGCGCGAGCCTGTGGTCACAGCTACTCAGGAGGCTGAGGGGAGAGGATCACTTGAGCCCTGGAGGTAGAGGCTGCAGTGAGCTGTCATCGTGTCAGTGCACTCCTGCCTGGGGGACAGGGAGAAACCCCGTCTCAAAAAAATAAACTGGATAAACACTTAAGTGTTTGAAATACTTTCACGAATACTTTCACAGGAACAGATGAATAGAAATCACTTAGCAACATTTTCAAGGCAACATCTGAAAACTACTTTGTCTATTTCCTGACGTATGTTAGGGCCTAAGTGAACCAAAAGAGATGTCTACAATGCCAGTTCTGAAAATGTTACCACTTTGGTCAGACAAGTGTTTAGTCTTACTGTATAGTTCTGTTTATCAGAAACCCAGAGTAGCCTTTTCTACTGAGACTGGCACAGGTATATATTCCGAAGGAACTGTCCCATGTGTTTTTGATAAACCAAAGTGACGAATGAGAGGGTGGTTGAGTGTTAACATGCAACATAAAAGGATGGTTGTCATTATTCACTTTTTAACAAAAACTAGTGGCATGGTACAAACCCAAATCCAGAAAAAAACAGAATCACTCCATTGCAAAGTAACCAGGTAGAGACTTCCATGTTTGTTCATCCTACAACACGACTGTCATCTTTTAACCTCATGAAAACTACCCGAGTTCTTCAGCAAACTGTGCCGCTGCCGCATACAGACATCACTGTGGATCACTAAAAATCAGAATGCATCAAGAATTGCTTCCAAGCCTTAACTAGCACTAGCTCAGCTACAAACTCGGAGGTAAACAAGCACAGACTGACTGACTGTGGAGCGGGGCACTGTTTACTTACATGGGAAGACACTCATGTTGTGATGGGAAACGTGTTGCACTGTCCACCCCTAGCTCCTAGAAAAACGGTACTTTGACAAGCTAATGTGAGTGTAAGTCTATTCCCAAAAGTTTTTACCTCTCTTCTTAATCGCTTAAGGACAAATGCTCAAAAAAGGACGCCCGACACAAGGTGCCCGAGGTGCTACCCATGGCATTACCTGGAAGGACATCACTATGCCCATGAAACTGTCCCCTCACAGTGGACTAAAAGGAAGCAATAGATACCGTCATTCACCCTGGCGAAGGAAAAAGAAATCAAAACCAGACGCGCTTCCACCTGGCCCCAAGAGGCTTGGAGCAAGACTAGGGTCTAAGCTGCGGTTCAAAAACCACACCAGGCCCCTCCGCCTCTGCTCTCAAACGCAGCGCGGCGACACAGCAGAACCATCAACACCTCCACCTCTGTCCTCCAGGCACAGCCAGGGACTGCGTCCCAGAGCCCGCCCCGGTCGGGCCCGCCCCGCTATCTCCTCCCCCGTTATCCGCTCGCAGCCGCGCTCAGGCCTGGATTCGCCTCCCCACCCTCCCCAACTTCGGCACGTCCCACTACCCCACACACGTCGGCCGCCGCCCTCGGCGAGTCCGGGGAAGAAAGGCTGGAGGGCCGCAGGGCAAGGAATCCACTCAGCACGGTTCCTCACCTCTGGGTGGAGAAGGGGCACACAGCCCGCTTCGGTATCGTACTCATCCGGGCCGTCCGCCATCTTGGTGTTAAATCCCTCCTCCCGCTGCATGCTGGGAGAAAGCGTTTCACCCTCCCGGGGCTCGGGCGAGGCGGAGGGCGAGCGCGGGGCGAGCGCGAGCCCCGCCGGAGGCGACGCGGGCCTCCTCCTCCTTCTTCTCCTGCCCCCGTGACGCCCCCTCTGTCCCCTCCCCCCTCGGAGGGCGCGGGTTTCTCCGCGCGTGCGCGGAAGCGCGGCCCGGCCCCAGACTGGATCGCGCTCTGCTGCACTGCGCTGGGGACGGCGGAGGGCTCTGGGCGTGGGCCCCGCGGCTCGGGGGCGGGTCCCGGCTGGAGGTAGATGTGAAGCTCTGGCTGCCCGGGGGAGGCGGCCGGGCGGTTGAGACAGTCGCTTGGGAAACCTAGCAGCTGCTCAGGAGCGAGAACAGAGCTCCGGAGCCGCACGCAGCACAAGTCTGGAGCCCCAGGCAGCCGAGGAGCCCACGCCCACGCGCTCCCACTTCCGCTCCGGGACCCCCGGGACCCCTCTTCAGGAACTCGGGCAGAGTCGTCAGCCAGCTCCAGGGAGGTTTGGGCCCGTCAGGCTTGAGTCGAGACCTGCATCATTCCTGAAGACAAAAGCAGCTTCCCTTTCCTCCACACTTGAAAAGGTCACCCGCAACCTGTCCCTCCGGGGGACGCCCGGAAAAACATGGATACAACTCGGGACTTCCTACTAGAGAACCCTTTTTTTTTTTTTTTTTTTTTTTTTTTTTTTTTTAATGAGACAGAGTTTTGCTCTTGCCGCCCAGGCGGGAGTGCAATGGCGCGATCTCAGCTCACTGCAACCTCTGCCTCCCGGTTCAAGCGATTCTCCTGCCTCAGCCTCCCGAGTAGCTGGAATTACAGGTGCACGCCACCACGCCCGGCTAATTTTTGTATTTTTAGTAGAGACGGGTTTTCACCATGTTGGCCAGGCTAGTCTCGAACTCCTGACCTTAAGCGATCCGCCCGCCTCGGCCTCCCAAAGTGCTGGGATTACAGGCTTGAGTCACCACACCCTGCCGAGAACTCTTTTTAAAATGATCCCAACCTGCTCTCAATCGTCTTGAATTAGTACCACACAAAAAATTTACGAGCTCAAAGCCCACACACCGCCATCTGCAACATTTCGATATAATCCAGGAATTCAGAACTGAAGCCACTTAAACTGAATTCGCTTAAATGCAAGGCAGATAAAATGACTAAAGCCATTTTTTAAAGGATTTTAGGGCGGTATGGGGGAGGTGCTCCCTGTAAATGGGCTGATGGGACAGTTTTAGATAGCATTTGTCTTTCCTTTTAGCTGTTAAAAATTGTAAGTCTAAACAGCTGAGAATTTAGCAGAGATCATGAAAGTTGACCTATTAGAGATCCTGGTACTTACTAATCTGTCTCCTGTTAGGCCAGAAACCACCAGGAAAAAGCCTGTACTCCGATAACGTCAGGCCAATTTGTAAATCAGGAGGGAGGGCACTCCAAAGGAAGCTTGGAATGCCACTGGAAAAGGAAAGAGGAAGCCTCCTTTGTAAGATTAGTTTCCCGCCAAAGGAGTCTGAGGAGGGTCTAAGGAGAGCCAGAATCAGTTCTGCATGGGACGCCGTTTCCGTGGCGGCATGAAGAAAAGCTGGGATTTACGAGGGATTGGATGCTGTCTTGAGGATACAGCAATTTAGTAATTAGGTACCTCCAGTAATAAAGTAGCAACACTAGTAAGAGCAGCAGTTACTCAAAGAGGGGTGAATATGGCGTGTCATAGCTACTGCACGGCTGTGGGAGAAAGAAGTTTCTCAGTTAACTTTGCTGCTGGCTTTTTCTGTATCTGTCCTCCCAGCACAACTACTTTTTCTCATTTCAGTCCGAGCTGATTTTCATTCTGTTCGTCCTGGCCCAAACTAGGAGTCATCTTTTACAGCTAGATAGTCTCAGGGTCGGCCCTTGGAGCATCGAATTGTTTTCAGTCATATGTTAACATGGACATAAGTCATTTTCACTCAAAAATCTCAATTTTTTTTTTTTTTTTGAGACTGAGTTTCACTCATGCCCAGGCTGGAGTGCAATGGCTCGATCTCGGCTCACTGCAACCACCACCTCCCAGGTTCAAGCGATTCTCCTGCCTCAGCCTCCCAAGTAGCTGGGATTACAGACATGCGCCACCATGCCCGGCTAATTTTGTATTTTTAGTAGAGACAGGGTTTCTCCATGTTGGTCAGGATGGTCTGGAACTGCCGGCCTCAGGTGATCCACCCGCGTCTGCCTCCTAAATTGCTAGGATTACAGGCGTGAGCCACCGCACCCAGCCAAAAATCTCAATTTTTTTTTTTTTTTTTTTTTTGAGACGGAGTCTTTCTTGCTCTGCGGCCCAGGCTGGAGTGCAGTGGCGAGATCTCAGGTCACTGCAACCTCTGCCTCCCAGATTCAAGCGATTCTCCTGCCTCAGCCTCCTGAGTAGCTGGGATTAAGGGCGCGCCACCATGCCCTGCTAATTTTTGTATTTTTAGTAGGGATGGGGTTTCACCATGTTGGTCAGGCTGGTCTCGAACTCCTGACCTCGTGATCCACCCACCTCGGCCTCCCAAAATCTTGGGATTACAGGCGTGAGCCACTGCGCCCGGCCAAAAATCTCAATTTTGAATCTTGCCCTTCCTTACCTTTATGTCTTGCATTGACTAGAAATAGAAGATTAGAGTAAATAAAGGACACCGACTGAAAAAGTTAAGTGGCATAAATATTAATAAAGCATTGAATGAAGTGAGAGTGTAAAGAAACTAGGCATGGAAAACTGGAGAAAATGTTTCAGGTACCCATGTATTAGGAATATTGGTACAGGTATATGATGTGGAGTATTCATAAAAGAAATGTTTAGCCTTCCCTGCGAAAATCAGTAAATCAGAGTTCACTTTAAAATCTAGAGTTCTAGTTCATCTGGCAAACAAGCCATCTTGACCTTCTTGCTCAGTCTCTACCAGGTCTATGGCCTGCTTTACTCGTTCTCATTACCTGCCTGGCTCTGTGGATATTTTTACTCCTGAGAATTCCACAATTCAAATATAAGGAAAATACTAAAAGCAGCCGAAAAGTTGGAACAACATAACCAGGGTCCATGTCTGTCTTGCTTACTGCTGGAGCACTAAAATAAATAGTTATTAAATGAAGAACTGAAGAAAGAGATCAAGAGCAGAAGCAGGCATGCTTAGGAAAACATGTTGAAGTTGAATCTTGAAGCAAACCCTTTAGATATGATCAGAGTCCATCTTGATAACTGTAGAGTTCTTATCTATAGCTCAAATTGAGAAAATATATTCAGGGGACTAAGGAGACAGCTAAGAAAGTACACTGATTGGATAGACTGGCAAAAGAATGGCATAGAATTATGGAGGAATGCAGAATAGTGGCTAAAAAAGAATAAAATTCAAAGAGAAAAATAGACCTTGTTAGAGAATAATTGTGAAATGGATTTAGAAGCAAACAGATTGGAAGGCATGGGGCATTGTTGTATAAATATAGTTTCATATGTAACTTCAGACACTACTGGAGCTAAAGACAGCATAGAGATTATCCAGATTTAGTCATTTCACAAAAAAGGAAATGATGGGGAATTTAAGAAACTCTCTTAAAGTTACAAAACTAGGTGGTAGCAGAATCATCTGGAAGCCTCCTGAATTTTCCCCATCTACTACTCTTTGCCTCTACCACGTTTCTTCTGTTGTTATTATCCTCAATGAATTATTACTTGGTCCATTTAATTTTTTTTATTGTGGGCCGGGCACGGTGGCTCACGCCTGTAATCCCAGCACTTTGGGAGGCCGAGGCGGGTGGATCACGAGGTCAGGAGATCGAGACCATCCTAGCTAACACGGTGAAACCCCATGTCTACTAAAAATACAAAAAATTAGCCGGGCATGGTGGCTGGCGCCTGTAGTCCCAGCTACTCGGGAGGCTGAGGCAGGAGAACGGCGTGAACCCGGGAGCGGCATGTGCAGTGAGCTGAGATCACGCCACTGCATTCCAGCCTGGGCGACAGAGCAAGACTCTGTCTTAAAAAAAAAAAAAAAAAAAAAAAAAAGGTTTTTTTGTGGTGAGAACACCTGACGCAAGATCTCTCTTAAATTTCTTTTTTTTTTTTTTTTTGAGACGGAGTCTTGCTCTGTCGCCCAGGCTAAAGTGCAGTGGTGCGACCTCGGCTCACTGCCAGCTCCGTCTCCCAGGTTCACGCCATTCTCCTGCCTCAGCCTCCCGAGTAGCTGGGACTACAGGCGCCCGCCACCACACCCGGCTAATTTTTTGTATTTTTAGTAGAGACAGGGTTTCACCGTTACCCAGGATGGTCTCGATCTCCTGACCTCGTGATCCACCCGCCTCGGCCTCCCAAAGTGCTGGGATTACAGGCGTGAGCCACGGTGCCCGGCCGATCTCTCTTAAATTTTTAAGTGCACAATAGGGTATTGTTAACCATAGGCACAATGGTGTACAGCAGATTTCTAGACCTTATTCGTCTTATATAACTGAAACTTTATACCCATTGAACAGCACCTCCCCATATCCTTCTACCTTTGGCCCTGGCAACCACCATTCTACTGTTTCTATCAGTTTGACTATTTTAGATACTTCACCTTTGGCCTTCAGTGAGTGGCTTATTTCACTTAGCATAATGTCCTCTGGGTTCATCCATGTTGTCACATATGGCAGAATTTCCTTCTTTTTAAAGGCTGAATAATATCCCATTGTATGTATATACCACACTTTATCCATTCATCCATCAATAGACATTTGGGTTGTTTCCATATCTTGGCTATTGTGATAATGCTGCAATGAACATGAGAGTGTGTTTTATGTCTTTGAGATCCCAATTTCAATTCTTTTGAATATATAAGCGGAAGTGAATTGCTGGATCATACGGTAGGTCTATTTTTAATTTTTTGAAGACCCATCATACCATTTTCCATAGCTGCTGAACCATTTTACATTACAGTGTACAAGGGTTCCAGTTTTTCCACATGCTTGCTAACACTTATGTTTTGTGTTTTTTTTTTCATAGTAGCCATCCTAGTAGGTGTGAAGTGATATCTCACTGTAGTTTTGATTTGCATTTCCGTGATGATTAGTGATGTTGAGCATCTTTTCATATACCTGGTCATCTGTATTTCTTCTTTGGAGAAATTTTTACTTAAGTCTTTTGTCCATTTTTTAATTGGATTTTCTGGGGGTTTTTGCTCTCCAGTTGTAGGAGTTCATTGAATCATTTGGATATTAATCCCTTATCGTATATATGATTTATAAATATTTTCTCCCATTCTGTAGGTTGCCTCCTCACTTTGCTGACTGTTTCCTTTGCTGTGCAGAAGCTTTTTAGTTCAATTTAATTCTGCTTGTCTAATTTTGCTTCTGTTGCTTGTGCTTTTTCTGTAATATCCAAGAAATTGTTGCCAAGCCCAATGTCATGCAATTTTCACCTATGTTTTCTTCTAAGTGTTTTACAGTTTTACAGTTCTATATTTTACATTTCAGTCATTAATCTATTTAAAGCTGACTTTTTTGTATGGTGCAAGATAAGGGTCCAATTTCATCCTTTTTGCATATGGATATCCACTTTTCCCAGCACCATCTGTTGAATAAAATGTCCTTTCCCCTTTGTGTATTCTTAGCATCCTTATCAAAGACCAGTTGACAGTATATGTGTGGGTTTATTTGGAGGCTCTTTATTCTGTTCCATTGGCCTGTATGTCTGTTTTTATGCCAGTTCCATACTGTTTTAATTACTTTAGGTTTGAGATATATTTTAAAATCAGGAAGTGTGATGCTTCTGTGTTCTTTCTCAGGAGTGTTTCGTTTATTCAGGGTCTTTTGTGGTCCCATATGAATTTCAGGATTTTTTTTTCTATTTCTATATAAAACACCACTGAATAGGGGTTGCATTGAATCTATAGATCACTTACAGTAGGATAGACACTTTTTAAATATTAATTCTTCCAATCCATGAACACAGGATGTCTTTCCATTTGTGTTTTCTTTCATTTCTTTCATCAGTGGTTTGTAGTTTTCAGCATACAAGCCTTTTGCCTCCTTGGTTAAATTTATTCCTGAGTATTTTATTCTTTTTGATGCTACTATAAATGGGATTGTTTTCTTAATTTTTCTTTTCAAATAGTTCATTGTTAGTGTGTACAAACAAAACTGATTTTTTTTTTTTAATTTTAAGGTCAGTTTTTTAAGTTCAATGATGAAAACTATCAGAAGAATATTATCCTGAAAATAATTTTTTCTTAGAAAAAAAGAAAGGAAAATCAAAACCCTCTGAGCATAGCCACAGATGCTGTGGCAGTCAAGCCTCTCTGCAGATGGGGATGTCCATTAGTCAGCTGAGTCACTGTCTGGGTCAGGAGGATTGTAGTCTGGATCATCCTCATCATCCTCCAGCTCCAAGTCATCCATTTATTGGAACAAAGACTCATCTACCTCCACGTTGTTTCCAGCATGCTCCAAGAACTGGATATCAGATGTGTCAAGATTATGATCTGTTTCAAATAGTTGTTTCCAACTTAATTTATTTTTTCCTGCTGTTCTTCTTCTTTCATCCTTTTCTTTTTAATTTCCAAGAATTCTTCATCAAACTTGGCCTTCCGATTTAAGAAATTCTCTATTGTAATTGGAGTGCCATGGAATAATTGCTTTTCAGCCTCTTCTGCTTCTTTTTCTTGTTGTTTCTTTTCTTCTCTTCTAGTTTTTATCTGATCTACTATTTCATTTAATTTTTCTTGCACAGCTGTCACTAGAGTAAAGATCATCACCATACCAAGATTTTCTTCAGCCTGTAATGCTAGTAATTTTAAAATGTCTGAGACATCATTATCTTCTAGATTTTCTGGAGGGAATATTTCATAAAGGAGAACTTCACCTGGGTATTTTTCACTGTATGTAAACGTGAGGGTAGTCTGGACAGTTTCATCATTTTCTCCAGCCTCAGATGTCACAGTAATGGTGAAGCCGGGTGGATTTTATGATAATACTATGAAGGAGTTAGGGTAGATGGACTCCTGGGCCTCTAGCTCTTGCATTGCTCCTCGTCATGGTCTGTCATCGTGGCCCTTGCTGCTGCCCATGGATCACCCAGACACCTAGGCGGCACACAGCAGCCGAGACAGCGGCCGCGTCAGTAGAGTGTGGGGCAGCCAGACAACTGATTTTTGTATGTTGATTTTTCATCCTACAACTTTATTGTATTCATTCCCCCAAATGCCCCCTCCCCTCCGAGACGGAGTTTCGCTCTTGTTGCCCAGGCTGGAGTGCAATGGCGCGATCTCGGCTCACTGCAACCTCCGCCTCCCGGGTTCAAGTGATTCTCCTGCCTCAGCCTCAGCCTCCCTGAGTAGCTGGGATTACAGGCGCATGTCACCATGCCTAGCTAATTTTTGTATTTTTTTGGTGGAGACAGGGTTTCGCCATGTTGGCCAGGCTGGTCTCGAACTCCTGACCTCAGGTGATCCGCCCACCTCGGCCTTCCAAAGTGCTGGGATTACAGGCGTGAGCCGCCATGCCCGGCCCTGTATTCACTTATTAGTTCTAAAATTTAACAATTATTTATTAAACATTTGTTCTGTGTAAATGTTGGAATCACCACAACATAGTCAGAGATACTTTTTAAGCTGTCACTTATATTATTTGACTCAACTAAATAAATAATCATAACACTTTGAATTCTAACCAAGTTATTTAATTATAAGTTTTTCCTATAAGCCATTTCACAAATTTCTGTGTTTCATTGGATTGTGGACAAAATAAATACTGACTACTTAGAGCTGGAATGAGGCACAAGCTTTGCTATTTTGACAAGTCACACCTAACAGTACTCTACAATCCTATTTTAAGTGAAGTGAGGACAATCTTTTTGCACTCATATTTTTTAGAGTGATATAGATAAAACAAGACCAGAGAATTAAAGGGAATATGTAGAATTTAGCACATGTGACAGTCAACATCTAAAAGGGCCTCCAGTGACTCTTGTCTCCTGGTATGCACGTCTTTGCACCCTCCCACCGCGAGTAGAGCTGACCTGTGGAACCAATGAGACATTGCGGGAAAATAGTGTGTGACTTTTGAGTACAGAGCATAAAAGGCATCATGGTTTCTACCTTGTTCTCTCTTGGATCCGTAGCTGTTGGGGAAGCCAGCTGCCATATCATGAAGACATTCAAGCAGCCCTGTGGAGAGGTCTGCCTGGCAAGGAACTGAGACCTCCTGCCAAGAACCAACACTGCTTGTCAGGTATGAAAGTGAGCTGCCTTAAAAGCGGATCCACCAGCTCCAGTGAAGCCTTCAGATGGCTGCAACCGCACCTGACCTCTCAACCATGAGCTTATTAGAGACTGAGCCAGGACCACCCACTTAAACGGCACCTGGTCTCCCGACACACTAAAACTATGTGAAAATAAGTATTTTTCTAAGACGCTAAATTTTGAAATAATTTGTTATACAACAATATAGTATATTGTGTAAAACCTGAAACCTCCAAAATCATTTACAAAGTTATATGTGTATAAGAATCCAGCAAGATCAAAATGTTTAACCTGACTTAGTAGAACTGGTTTATTTCTAAACTTTGCTTCCTTAAAAGGAATGTGCGACCTATTTTGTTGATATTTTTGTTGCGGGAGGAGGAGGAGGTGTGTGCAAATTTCTTTTCTCCAGGAAATTTGAAGACAGCGGTTCCCATTTGTGAAGAGAATCAGTGCTAATAACTTGGGGTCAGCCTTCAAGAGCCGTGAATATCCTTATGAAACAGAAGATAATGGGATTTTGTGTTAAGAAATAATGAGTATTTAAAGCAACAATGTATATATTTTAAAGTAGGAAGAGAGCAAGAGTATGGATTCTGGATGTGAACTTGTCTGAAAATGCATCCTGCTTCCAGGAAATGGCAAATGCACTCAGAGAAGAAAACAAGATTCCCCCCGCAAGAGCAAGATTCCTCAGAAGCCTCATGAATCAGAGACTTCTCAACACCCAGAGCCTTGCCTCATTCTGTATTTGAGAGCAAATTTCTCTTTTGCACTAGCACTCCATCATTTTACTAGTCCTTAGGAACTCAAGGTGTGGTCATGGCAGCAGTGCCACTAGGTTTTACTCTTTGCCATTTGACTCGCACCGTCTGCAATGTTCCAGGGCACCTGTAAGCCCAAAGGGACCCCCTGAGCACCCATACATGGGGAGGGAAGAGAAGAAAATCAGAAAGGCTTGACTGAACAAGCTTAAGACCCTCTCCTCCTGCCAACTGAGACAGCAATCAGTGAAAGCCCTTCTTATATGTGTATGCACATTTTTTCAAGGGAGAAAGTCTGCAGCTTTCATTGGAGTTTCAAAGGCATATGTGATCCAAAAAAGGTTGCTCAAATCTAGGAACATTTAAAATATTAAATCCACTTTTTTTTTTTTTTTTTGAGACACTCTTGCTCTGTTGCCCAGGCTGGAGTGCAGTGGTGTGATATTGGCTCACTGCAACCTCCACCTCCTGGGTTCAAACAGTTCTCATGCCTCAGCCTCCCAAGTAGCTGGGATTACATATGTGTGCAGCCATGTCTGGCTAAGTTTTTTTGTATTTTTGTAGAGAGGGGTTTTTGCCATGTTGTCCAGGATGGTCTCAAACTCCTGGCTAGTCATGTGCTTCATGTATATTATTTTATTTAATCCTCATAGGAAGCCTAAGAGGTAGGTGAGTTAACCCTTTACAGTGAGTTAACATAATGACTACGTAGGATCTCTAATGTGTGGAGAGTCTGTAGACATCTACACATTAGGTGGTTTGCAAACAACTAATGATGCATCAACAATTCCTGAAATCAAATATGTAGACAACAGCTAATAGGCCATGAATTTGATACATGCTAGTATGTGTCATGACTGGACAGAAAGACATACTTTTGTTGCTTTGAGATTAACCCTCTGATCCAATGTCAAATACACTATTTACTAGCTTTTTTATGACAATTCAACAATGTCAGGAAACTATTTTTATAATTGGCTATAATTAATGCATAGCTGTAAGAGAAAGTAAATGAATTTTTATTAAAAATAAACCTTTTAGATTGCTTCCATCAGGCAATTAAAGCAGTTGAGAGAAGCTTTATGCTATGGCCTTCTGTATAAACTAGGGGAAAATGTGAAAAAGTCAAAACATGCTCTCAATGACCTCCCACATCTTTTCCACACCTCTCCCTATTCTCTGCTTGCCTCTTCTATGCTGACATATACTTAAGGTCATTTATGTTTTTCTGAATGACCCCTGGACTACAGAACTAATGTCCACACATCACTCACCCAAATTCACATTGGGAACAAACTGGGTATTCATTGCATTTTGTCTTTACAAGAAAAAAAGGCCATTGATTTGGCTGTTATGAATAAGAAGGAACTGGCCCCACCTACCTGACGTTTACTTTCCTCCCACCCCTGATCCTACACCAGGACACTTTTATGTCAAATACACTTACCTTAGGAATGAAAAGGGCGACAGTTATGGTGTTGAGTGCTTTGACTCAGCTATGCTGGACCCCTGCCAAGGCTCCTGTTGAGGAGGACCTTAAGAGTAAACTTTTGGCCAGGCACGGTGGCTCACACCGGTAATCCCAGCACTTTGGGAGGCCGAGGTGGGTGGATCACAAGGTCAGGAGTTCGAGACCAGCCTGGCCGATATGGTGAAACCCCATCTCTACTAAAAATACAAAAATTAGCCGGGCGTGGTGGCGTGCACCTGTAGTCCCAGCTACTCAGGAAGCTGAGGCAGGAGAATTGTTTGAACCCAGGAGGTGAGGGTTGCAGTGAGCTGAGATGGCACCACAGAGGGAGACTCCATCTCAAAAAAAAAAAAATAAGAGTAAACTTTTTTTTAATCAGGACTTCATTAGTACAGTATGGATGTATGGTAACTGTTGTAGGCCTAGACTGTTATCAGACCACTTCCAGAATCTTCCCCAGCCTGGCTGTCCCTGACCCTTTCCCCAGGCTCCTGGTCCGTCATTGTAGAGATGTATCCTGACTGGTTTATGTCCTAAGGTTATTTCATCAGGAACCAGGGGCTCCACTCATTGGCTTATTTACACCTTGGAATCAAACTTAGAGTTGGAGTTCTAACTGTAGTTGGCCCAACTGATTTATCCTATGTAGGAGACAGTTTAGTAAGTCAAAATATTTTTCTATCCAGACTTCTCAGTCTAGACACACTACCTGCGTGCACTGTCATCTTAATTCTATGACCTGAGGAAAGTTACATAAGTTCTCTGTGCTTGCATAGTTGCCATGCTATTTATTTTCATCTTGATCAGGCTTAGATAGCTCTGATAGCCATTTCATTGGTTGTAATACTGTGTGGAGGACTTTTTAACTTTCTTCCCCCCATATCTGAGCCCATTTTGGTTTTCATTGTTAGTTTCTGTTTGAGGACAAAGTATTTCATCTTCTGTTTACTTTTATGTACCTCAAGAAAAAGGGTGCGGAAGAAATAAACTTGGCTGAGACAAGCAAGACACAGGCTGCCTTAGAAAACCTGAATCCTGCTCTCTTTGCTGAGTTGTTGTTCACTCCATCTAGGTGAGAATTATATCTCATTTACATAAGGGAATATCCCCAGACATCAGTTTCCACATCTTAATGAGTATCCCTACAGCCTTCACTTTCATGAGAGTCAGTCCCATAGTTCACTTTCCCCATCTCACCTGCCTTTCTCTCAACCACTTCTAGCAATGTAAAGTGGGAAAATGGAACATGTACGAAGACCCATTGAGTTTGCTTATCTACAAATTTGGGGATATTCATGTGAATCTCAGAATTTGGTATATTTATCAGTATAGCTTGAAGTGGGTAAATGGATGAGAGGGCAGAGTGAGGATGCAACCCATTAGTTCTCTTCTGCTCCGTTTCATAGTATGTCTTTGTGTGCCTGTTTTTTATGTTACATTTTTTAACTTAAAGGTATGTCCCCTTCATTTGTTGGTTTTTGAATTGGTAAATTTTCTGGGTCTTTTTTTTTTTTTTTGGAACAGATATTAAAGTAGAAAATGTCTGTGGTATAGTTAGCCCCTTGGATATCTCAGAAATCCCCAAACATGTGAGTTTTCCTCCACAACTGCTTAGCTTTTGATATGCTGATAGAATCAGGTGCTATAGAGAATATTTCCAAGTCACTGAACCTGAGAGTCCCCTTAACTCATCTGCCGCTCATTGTTGAGGTATATTCTTTCTATAACTGGTTACTTCATTCATTACATGATTTTTCCTCATTTTAGTCTCTGAAATTAATCTCAAATTCAACTTTTAGGATACTTGCTGTTAGATTGGTTCATCATGGAAGGCATGGGGACCTACAGATTTCCAGACATACATACACACAAATTTGCATCAGTATCGGAGGGTTCAGGGATTCCCTAAGCATGGTCCATGGACCCCACAGGAAAAATCCATGAAAAATCCTTGCTTATGATAAATTATAGCTTTAGTTTTTGACTGCTGTACTTAACCTATAAAGAAATTTGGGAAGTCATCTAGTTTATCCTACTGTCTTCAGACAAAATAATTCTCAGCAAATATGGTGTAGAAGAAAGTCTATTATACGAAACCAAATACTGGTTCTGGTTTTACAGTTAATTAACTTTATGATCTTTGTCACTTTAGTTTTTCAACTTCAGTTGTCATCTGTAAAATGAAGGGTTTGTTCTAAGTGCTCTCCAAAGTTTCTTTTCTTTTTTTTTTTTTGAGACAGGGTCTTCCTCTGTCCCCCAGTCTGGAGTGCAATGGCACGATCTCGGCTCACTGCAACCTCCACCTCCCAGGTTCAAGCCACTCTCATGCCTCAGCCTCCCTAGTAGCTGGGATTACAGACGCCTGCCACCATGCCTGGCTATTTTTTGTATTTTTAGTAGAGATGGGGTTTCACCACATTAGCCGGGCTGGTTTCAAACTCCTGACCTCGGGTGATCCACTGCCTTGGCCTCCCAAAGTGCTGGAATTACAGGCGTGAGCGACTGCACCAGGCCCAAAGTCTCTTTCATCTATATAATTCTAATAAAAATAATAATATCATCCTAGATAGACAATAATTTCCTTTTTAATTGTCATAATGAAAGGCCACAGTTTCTGCAATTAACCTCTGCTTTGTTCTGTGACAGTTTTTACTATCAGAAATTTCTTCCTGATTTTTATCCTAAATCCCTCCTACTATAGGTCTTCTTTTATTTTTCTCAGGTCTCTTAACAGTCTATTTATCTTCCTTACCTAAATCATTCCCAGACAGGTGAAGTCTTACTGGTGAAACCTTAGAAAGCGCTTCCATCAGTAAAACCCCTTTTTCCGACCTCTAAATCATTAATGCACATGGTAAATGAGACGAGGAGAGGCACTAACACCCAAAGGCACTCCATTAGAAATTCTGTGTCCCAGAGAGATAAGAGGACCTAAACTGTTGTAGTTGCAGTATCTGGTATTCCTTGCTTTTCTACTCTAAATTTTACCTTTCTAAGCTTCACTCAGCGAGAAGATGGCATGGCTAAAGATATTTCGCTACGAAAAGAAAATAAAAGTGAAATCATTTATCTGAATTTAGGGCCTTATTCCATTTTAGGCCATCAGCAATGAGTTGTCCCATTGTCTTATTCCCACAGGATCCTATTCAAAATACCTACCTATCTAGAAAGTCAACTTTTTTTTCATTTCTTTGATTTTTTTACATCAGTTTTTTAATTCCAGAAGTAATAACTGCACATACATTAACATTTTTTAAGAATATAAGGTAACACAGATAATTAAAATAAAACTACTTTTTCCCTCCCCACTCATTCCAACAACACTTCCAAAAATTCATCATGATTAATCATAGTTTTTCCAAAATCTTAAGATATATACATATATATCCATAAAACATGATATGTTAACTGTGCAAACTGTTCCACACCTTGCTTTCTTCACTTAATAATTTGTCTTAGATAGATTTCTTTTTTTTTTTTGGTGACAGAGTCTTGCTCTGTCACTCAGACTGGAGTGCAGTGACATAATCATGGCTCATTGCAGCCTTGACCTCCCAAGTAGCTGGGACTACAGGCATGCGCCACCACACCCAGCTAATTTTTGTATTTTTAGTAGAGACAGAGTTTCACCATGTTGGCCAGGTTGGTCTCAAACTCCTGGACTCAAGTGATCCTTTCACCTCAGCCTCCCAAAGTGCTGGGATTACAGACGTGAGCCAACACGCCTGGTCATCTTAGATATCTTTGCACGGCAGCACTTATAATTCTATTTTATTCTATTTAATGGCTTGCATAGTATTCTCCTGGGTCCTTTTATCTCACTCAGAATATTTTGAGCTTTAAGTAACAGTTAAATAAAGTGGCCTGCATGATAAAAGTCTTTATTATTTCTCACATCAAGAAGTTTAGAGTCAGGTTAATTCAACAGTTTCATAATATCATAAAGATCCAAGTATGCTGCAGGCTAATTCAACAGTTCAGTAATGTCATGGAGATTCAGTCAGATTCCTTTCTCTTTTCTGCTATTCTCTGCTAAAGGTGAGAAACCGCATGTCCTCAGGATGGCTGCAGCAGCTCCGGGCATTATGCATTACACAGCCATATCCAAGGCAATAAAAGGACTGTTCCTTCTCATAGGCCTCTTTTTTGAACTAAGGAACATCTGCAGATCACATCTGTCAGGACTTAACTATACGTCCATGCTAAAACCAATCTTTGGCAAAGGAAATGAAACCACCCTGATTACCTTATATGAGGGGTTGGCAAACGGTGGCTGATGGGTTAAATCTGTCCCATTGCCTGTTTTTGTATGGCCTGTGAGCTATGAGTTTTACATTCTTAAAGGGTTGGTAAAAAATAAAAAGACTACTTTGTGATGTAAGAAAATTACATGAAATTCAAAGTTCAATATCTATAAAGAAAGTTTAGGTATTCTTAAAGAATGCTTTTACACTACAACAGCAGAATTCAGTAGTTGGAACAGAGGCCATATGGCTCACAAAGCCTAATATATTTACTCTCTGGTCCTTTACAGGAAAAGTTTGCCAACCTCTGGCTTAGATGATCACCTGAGGCCAAGGAGCCTCGCCCTTGAGCACAAGACTATGTAGTCAGTAAAGCACAAACAAAATTGGGGCTTTCCCTAGCAAGGTTGGAAAGGCGGAGAAGAAATGGATTTGGATAGGTAGTCAACAATGTCTGTTTTATGTTACCACACATTTTCTCAAGAAATTTCAATCAGCTCTCTGAGAACAGATTCATCTTTAAATGAATGTTCATAGGTAACAGCAACTCATGCATCAATGTTGCAAAGTGAGCTCATTTTCACATTGCTTCAGGTTAGGCAGAAGGTTTGGTAAAGGGATTAACGTAATTGTTTCCTTGTTGTTTACAAAAAGAAGTCCCAGTTGGCATGCCACATAAAATCTTCTGTATCTCACTCTTGTTTACATTTCCAACATCCCCTGCCACCGCAAGTAAATGACTCTATTGCTCCTTCCATCGTGAAACACTTGAAATTCCCTGAATTTACGAAGACTTTTCCTGCTACATTGCCTTTGTCCATGCTATTATTTCTACTTGGAACACCCTTTCTTCTTGTCCACCTGGGCAGTTTCTTAGGTGAAACTTTAAGACCTAACTCAAGTGTTACTTTCTTTGAAAAACCTTATACGACCACATTTGGGGCTCTATCTTACTTTGTTGTCTTGGCTTGGGTTGCCTAAAAAGAACCTGAACAAGGGTTCCCTCTCATTTATTTATTTTGAGAGGTAACACCAGGGAACAAGAGTTGGGGGTAGGAGACCAGAAGTAAACTGCGACAAGAAAACCAATACAGAGGTGCATTATTGAGCTGGTTACCTTTTTAGGCAGTGGGGGGCTTGGACCTGCTGGAGAGCTTCTGAGGAGCCAGAATTCAGAATTGTTTGCTGAGACACAGAAGAAGGGATAATCTTTTTTTTTTTTTTTTTTTTTTTTTTTTGAGACAGAGTTTCGCTCTTTTTGCCCAGGCTGGAGTGCAATGGCACGATCTCGGCTCACCGCAACCTCTGCCTCCCGGGTTCAAGCAATTCTCCAGCCTCAGCCTCCCAAGTAGCTGGGATTACAGGCATATGCCACCACGTCCAGCTAATTTTGTATTTTTAGTAGAGACAGGGTTTCTCCATGTTGGTCAGGCTGGTCTCAAACTCCTAACCTCAGGAGATCCGCCCACCTCAGCCTCCCAAAGTGCTGGGATTACAGGCGTGAGCCACCGTGCCTGGCCAGAAGGGATAATCTTATCCCCTGCTGATATGCAGTTGCACCAGGGAGTGTTTGCTCCCTCATACTCCTGTGTTTGCACAGCAGAGAAGCCTCAGGGTAGAAAGCAAAAGATACCTAGTGCAGCTATCAGATGTCATCCTAGCTCAACTGGTAGCTATGGGTATGAAATAAGCAAAAGATGTCTGATATACCCCATATTGTGTATTACTCAGATCTGCTAGGAATCTTCATCACATGTAGTCTATCACAGAGCCTTCAAGGTGATAACTGACAGCAATGCCTATGGAAGATATTATACAAGAGTGTTGGAGGAACAAGCAACACTTCCTGATGTTGTAATCGTTTTCATAATTGATGTTCACCCTCTCTCACTTCCACCACTACTTGACCTAGGTTGTTTGCCTAGTGGATTGTCCAGCTCTTCATCCTGGAGGGACTGGTCCCTTAGTTGCTTTGGCTTTATTGGATAAGAGCTATTACATTTTCTCATTTATGATTACCACTGGGTGTGAAAACACCTTGCTACTCACTGACTAGCATGTCCATTGGCATGACGTCATCGGTATAGCACAATATTCTGCAGAATGCCAAGCTGATCAGTGACCTATGGACAATGTATATTGTGATGCAGAGCAAGAAAGTTAACATAGTCCTGCAGTAAGCAGTGAGTGTGTGCTAGTGTGTGCTGCTCTTCTTCCCTCATAAAAGGTAACTTCTTTTGCTGCTTTTTATTCATAGGGATGGAGAGAAACCTATTCACTAGAGCAATATCCACATATCAGGCACCAAAGACTGTTGTTATATTCTAGTAAATATACAAACCCTCACATAGCACGTATGATTTGGGGCTATTTTTAGGTAAAGCTTGCAATAGTCCACCATTATTTCCTGTGATGGATCTGGTTTTTGCACTGGCCAAACAGACTAAATAGGCAAATTGACCCAACATGTCCACATCCATTGAGTCTTTGAAGGTGACATTAATCTTTGCATTTCCTCTCAGGAAGTTGTATTCCTTCTAATTCACTGTCTTAGCCAGTGAGAGTGTGCAGTTTCAGGGACTTCCCCTGGTTGTTCCTATCATAATAACTCTCACTACACGTCAGGAAACCAAGGTGAGGGTTCTTCCAGTTGTTAATATAACCATTCCAATTGTTCACTTGGGAAACTAGGGATATAAGCAGAGGGTGAGTCTGTGACTCTGTTAGACCATGGTGAGATGAACCTGGGCCATCTGTTCTCTGTGCCCACTCAACTTGGAGCCATGTTTCTAACTTCCTGGTATTAACATTAGCTCAGAACCTATTATGCAACCAGCTTTGAAATGTCTGAATGGTTCCCTTTATTTTTCTTTTCTTTTCTTTCCTTTTTTTTTTTCTTTTTTCTTTGTCTTTTTTTTTTCTTTTTTTTGAGACAGAGTCTTGCTGTCTCCCAGGCTGGAGTGCAGTGGCATTATCACAGCTTACCCACCACAACCTCTACCTATCCAGCTCAATCAATCCTCCCCACTAGCCTCCCAAGTAGCTGGGACCACAGGCATGCGCCACCACACCCAACTAATTTTTGTGTTTTTTGTAAAGATGTGTTTTTGCCATGTTGTCCAGGCTGGTCTCAAACTCCTGGGTTTAAGCAATCCTCCTGCCTCAGTCTCCTAAACTGGTGGGATTATAAGCGTGAGCCACCATGCCCAGCCTCCTTTTTTTTTTTTTCAATGTACAGTGATATGGTTTGGCTCTGTGTCCCCACCCAAATCTCATCTTGAATTGTAATCCAAATTGTAATCCCCAGGTGTCGAGGGAGGGATCATGTGGGAGGTGACTGGCTCATGGGGGTGGTTTTCCCCATGCTGTTCTCATAATAGTGAGTGAATTCTCATGAGATCAGATGGTTTTTAAATGGCAGTTTTTCCTGCATTCTCTCTCTCCCTCCTGCTGCCTTGTGAAGAACGTGCCTGCTTCCCCTTCACCTTCCACCATGATGGTAAGTTTCCTGAGGCCTCCCCAGCCATGAGGGAGTGCAAGTCAATTAAACCTCTTTCATTTATAAATTACCCAGTCTCAGGCATTTCTTTATAGCAGTGTGACAACAGACTAATACATACAGTTTCTCCATAAATGGGTTGTCTTAGTCTGTGTTGCTGTAAAGTAATACCTGAGGCCTGGGTAATTTATGAAGAAAAGAGATTTATTTGGCTCACAGTTCTACAGACTGTACAAGAAACATGGTACCAGCATCTGCATATGCTGAGGGCCTCAGGTTGCTTTCACTCATGGTGGGAAGGGAAGGGAAGCGAAGCCTGTATGTTCAGAGATCACATGGAGAGAGAGAAAGCAAGGAAGAGGGAAGAGGTGCCAGGTCTTTTTAACAACCAGCTCTGGCAAGAATTAATGGAGTGGGAACTCACTCATCCCTGAGGGAGGGCATTAATATATTCATGAAGGATCCACGCCCATGACCAAAACACCTCCCAAATAGGCCCTATCTCCAACACTGGTGATCAAATTTCAACAAGAGGTTTGGAGGGGACAAATATGCAAATGATAGCATAGATGTGTGTCCTTTTGTGGAATGAATGGGGAAATATGTAGTGAATATACTTGTGCTATTATTGCAGGGCATTTACTCAGCTTTCCCTTCAGGTGATGAGCTCTGGTTCTGAGAAGTCTCTTAGGTCTGTAAACTGGCTGAGGGGTTGCAATTTTCCAATGAGACAGCTGACATCAGCCTTCTGCTCACCAGCTATCAGTGTTTTCTTTTTATGCGTATAGATCAAGTAATACCATAGTGGATGCTCATTTAACTTGCCCCAAGAAATGCTATGGTCTTATTAGTCACTATCACAGAGCCCTGTGGGTGAAGGCATTCTGGTTGCCACTCTGGCCTTGCAGCCCATTATTGTAATTATGTACTCTTTCCTTCTGTCAGTCAAGCACTACCATCTGGCCTTTGCTATTTTCGATTCTTGTCAACCCAGTTGATATTAGGGAGTCCAGTTCCATAGTAGCAGCATCTCTTATTGTGAACTACAGTGGATAGCCACCACGGAACTTCCCACAGATGCCAATGGCACCCTCACCAGTGTATTTCTTACTTCCCTGGAGATGGGTATGTCCTCTGAACACTTAGAAGGAATATTTGGTCACATGATGGGCTCTCAGGTCATATATTACAAATTTACTCTAACATTCTAACTTCCTAGAGCCTTCTGATACCTTTCTCAAGGCAGTCAAGGTACTTCTAGAATCTCTCCCTCATTTGCTATAGACCCTCATCCTGTCCAGGCTCCAGGGAACCATCCCAGCAGTACATTAGGTCCAGCTCCATGTGTCCTTGCCATATCATGAAAGTCCAAGTGTTTTCCAGAGTCAATATGTTCTCTCCTGTCCACCTTTATATTCTCCCCTCCCTGGCCTAACACTTTTAAGACCTACTCCCATGCCTGTATCCCCTTTTCCTGCAGGTAAATATTAGCCAGTTTTCCCATTCCTTGTTTAAGTATACGCTATTCCTCATCTGAAGGATTTGCAGGGTCTCCACACAAGGGGAGGCTGTTCTGCTCCGGCAAAACAGAGGGAGCTACTTGTTCCAACACAGAGTTCAGAAGAATCTTGGAGTGGAAATTTCTCAGCCTTGTCCACCTAAATCCTAACACTACAGGTCTCAGGATTCCATTCTTTCCCTACCAGGGCCTTGTCTTTGGCATAGAAGACTTGTCAAGGGAGTGCATTTCCTTTGTAGCTATGTTACCTTAAAGGTCAATCCTGGGTCTCATCATCAACACAGTTTGCTCTAGGGATACAGAAGACAAGCATCTCTTTAAATACTACCTTAGAGACTTTCCATTTTTCATGGCCTGCCTTGGAAGTTGGTAACTTGTACCTGTCACTTACAAAAGGTTGGGGGGTGGGGGACAGCGGCGGCGGTCTTAAGGAGCCCTTAACAAAAGTGAGCCAATCCACGTATCTTATGATTACCATTGCCTTCAAACCATTCAAAGGCCATCCCTATTCCATAAGCAAATGCTTGACTTTCCACCTATACCTCATCCCTATCATCCACCAGTGAAAGTCTTGGAGATGCTGATTCAGGCAAGGGGTTGACACTGCACACTCTTTCCACCAGAAGTGGAGGAGTCTGATTGGTGAGTAATTCAGTTCCAGAATTCCTTCCTGGGGGCAAGAGGTCTGCTTTCTAGGTCTACTCCTTATATCAAATGTCTTAGGTTCCCGCAAAAGGCAGAGTCTGAGACAAGTGCTTGCATATAATGGGCTTACCTTGGAAAGAGATTCCAGGAGACAGGAGAAGGGACCTGGGGGAAAATGGTAAACGGAAAGGAAGAAAGCAAATCCAAACGGTGTGTTATTGAGCTGGTCACCACTATGGGAAACTGGAGCGTGGTCATGCTGGGGGCCCTTTGAAAAACTGCATAGAGTGGGCCTCAGAATTGTCAGAATTGTCTGACACAGAAGAGATTATTGATTCACGAGTTCTACCCTTCAGTGGTAGAAGATTGCCCTAGGAAATGTCCACTCCTTCACTCTTCCAGTCTGCGCATGTGCCAAAATAGCTGGATGGGCTTCTGCAGGCATTCCACGTGGTGGTGGCAGAGAAGCCTCACCACAAAAAGCAAGAAAAGCAAGAGATGCTCCGTGCACTTGAGGCAAGGCGATGTCAGAGCATAGTTGGCAGCAGCAGCAATGTGTGGAGCAAAAAGGTGAGCCAAGAGAATATGAGGAAGGAGTAAGAGATGCTGGACAAACTTGTACACCTCTCTTATTGTACTAATCGGACTACATCACAGGTATTGCTCTGTGAGACTGTCACCAATCCTAGATGCTGAGCACTTTTTAAAAAGGGACACGGAATAAATTGGCATTATGTGCCTCCTGAAATGATGCATTGAGAAGAAGACAACGTCACTTCTTTGGTATTCCTAGCGAAAGGCATATCTTGAACATAATCATGAGGAGACATCTGATAAACCCACATTGAGGCACATTGCACAAAATTTATAGTCTGCACTCTTAAAAGATGTCAATATCATGAAGGATAAACTGGGCAATTGTTCAAGTGAAATAAAAATTGAATACAACATCTAATCCAGACTTTGTTTTGTTATAATAGACATTATTTTGGGACGAAAGGATGTGTATATAATCTATAGATTAGACAATACTTTTGCATTAATGTTAATTATCTGATTTTGATAATTATTCAATGGTTATGTAAAAGAATGTCTTTGTTTTCAGGAAATATATGATGAAGTGTTTAAAAATAATGGAGTATCATGTCTGAAACGCTCAAAGAGAAAATGATAATAAAATGTTAATGTTTGAGGAATCTGAGAATGTAAAGGACTTGTGGCAATTTTTTGTATGGTTATAGCAACAAAGATCTGTGATCTGACCGACCAAAATAGATGCCCCTTTATCAACCAAGATAGACCCTAAGGTTAAGGAAGCAAAAGTTACCTACAAGTTGAGGGTTCAGAGCTTGGCTGGCATGGCAACTTCCTAAATCCCTATGGCTACAAAAAAAAAAAAAAAAAAAAATTCTATACTCTTGCTAAACTCCCTAATAATAGGAGCTACCAGGCAAATTATCAGACCCCTCCTAACTCTGATTTGCCACCCAGACCACTGCAATGCTGATTGGACAGAGAATCTGCGTTACAAACATTCTTTCCTAATAAGCAACTGCAGACTTTAAGCCAGCTTCAACTAGTTTATAGAGACTGCGTACAAACTGTCTTTGTGTTATATAGTTTACCTTTTGATGTAAAGAGCCAATTCCACCTAATTCTAATGCTAAAACCCCTCCCCAAAATGAACATGAGATATATGTTACATACATGTTTGCCCATTGTATGTGTGCTCAACTCCCCTCATAAATATATATAGCTATTCCCCTAAACCTGCTGAACATGTGTGACTCTATTGTGTAATACAGACCCTGTGAGGCATAAAACCAACCTGACTTTTCCCTCTTTGAAGAGAGCACCTTCAGTATACACCAAAGACTGTCCTTTCTCAGTTTTCAAACTGGTATCACTAATAAAGCTCTTCTTTCTACAGTTTAGCCACCATGGTGGGCTTTTGGTTGACATATCTGAAATTATGTCAAGATGTAAATTTTAAATTTTAGGCAAAAGAAATGGATATGTATTTTTTTTTATATATGAGTGTATACATATATATGAATCTATCTATCCACGTATCTATCAAGCACCTAGCACAATGCCTACTGTCATACAGTAGGTTATCAGTAAATGTTCTGGAAGTCAACAGAGAAGTGCTCTGAAGCAAACCAAGGGCAGGTTTCTAGATGACCTAGCACTTCCTTTTCCTGTGATGATAATTCAGGATACCCTGTTTAGGATATGAGCTCTTTCACCATAAGCTAACACAGAATTTCCAAATGAAAACTGTGCTTTAAAAATGTAGGTTGAATCAATGGGCAGCTATATGAAAATACAAAGATTATATTATTGGGCAGGTGCAAATAAAATCACATAAAGTGAAAAGGTAAAAAATTGTGTATAGTCTGGAATTTACTACGATGGTCACATGTGGAAAGAGAATGAAAATAGGCCAAAAAAAAAAAAATTAGGAATAGTTGCTTAAGTAAATGGAATAGAGATAGAATTCTCTGGAAATGGACTTAATTTTTATTAGATGAAGACAAGAACGCAGATTATGTCTTATTCGTGTACATATTGCCAACGGCCCTCTCTTCTACCAGGTAGGGAGAGCTTTCCTGAGAAGGAAGCCCACACTCAGAAAAGCATGCGAGAGCTGGAAGGTAAGACAGAGCCCTGAAGAGTCAGCCTTGGTCTCATTGATACTTGAGGATTGTTAATCCCTCAGCTTCCCTTTATATAAACTGGTGAATTCTTTTTTAGCCTGAACTAGTTGAAGTAAGACCGTGAGCTTATATTGGGGCTCAAAAAAACAACATCCCCAAATGAAGACTTCAGAAGTCAAAGTTTTTTCTCTGATCTTTTCTGCCCTCTGGTCTCTCAATCTCATTCTTCCCTGAGGCTCACCATAAAAGTTAGAATCCCTCTTCCCCAAGGCCGTCATAGCAACCAGAACCCTGTTCCCCTAAAGCTAGCCATAAAACCTAAAAATATTATTCTAACTTACCCCTCTCCTTTTCTGAGTAAAAACTGGCCATAGAGAAATTCTCTGACCTGCTTGTTTAACTGTAGGTTATAAGACCCCCATTCCAGAGAGGGTCCTGCCCCATACCCGGAGGGAAGGAGTGCCGCACAGAGAGGCCAAGAAGAATCTAGACAGACAGGCCTTGCTGGGTTTCCCAACTCGGTGTTAGCGTTGGATCGTACCTTTCCTATCCACTTGTATTTCTGTGTGGCTGTCCATAGTCCGGTGAACTTAAGCATAAAAATGAACAATTTACCTGTGCCTTTGGGTCCGAAGGCTCCCGTGTATACATGCTAAATAAATTTGTATGCCTTTTCTTCCATTAATCTGTCTTTTGAGACTTGGTTTTTCAATAAAACTTCAGAGGGTCAAGGTGAGTGCTCCTTTGACCCCCACACTTGCAACCAAAACCACCACCACCACCACAAGCATACAAAAACTAAAACAGTTGGTTTGTTATACTAAGGATCTTCTCTATGTTGGAGATTAATTTACTTTGAATTTTAGCAAAGGTAAATAGGTCTTTCGCTTAATTTTTGTGTGGTATTCCTGTACTTAAACTCTCCCCAGAACTAGTGATTTTCTCTTTGCATGTGACTACCATCTTTTGTTTTTTTCACAACTGCCCCTGAGATCTGGGCCACTCCCAGCTTTCTAGTTTTACACATGGCATAATCATTTTGTTTCTTACCTCTTATGTTCTTACATAACCTCTGAAAAGATGCTTTCCGTATTGTTGGCATTGAGCCAAACCATCCTCTCTTTTTTATATTTTTGAGATTTAAAGCTACAAAAAATCATATTATTGTACCGCTTTTGAAAAATGATGTGAGGGGATTCAGGGCATCATGGTGGATGGGAGGCAGGACTAGATAGTACGCGGAGGCTTGCATTGTGAATTTTAGCTGCAGATCAACTGTAAGAACAAACCAGCAATCCTGAAAGGACCCACAGACCTTCTGAAGGAAGCGGACTACTCCTGTAGGACCCGGGAGACACCCTAAATACTGTGAGTGCCCCAACTGCAGAAGTGGGAAAGGGAGACCCTCCTCTCCTGAACACACACCCTCACTGGAGAAGCTAAAGGTCTATTTCTGAGAGGTCTCTGACTTTACCTGGAGCTGAGTCAAGTTAGAGAGGCTAGCAAAATACAGGCATAGAGGAAGCAGCAGAAAGGCCCTGGGAGCTTGCTGGGTCCCCAAGCAGCCCATTCCTGCCTGGCACCACAGGGATCCAACAGGAGGGCGGCCAGAGGAGCAGGGGGTAAAACTCCACAGGGAGAAGGAAATCTCTAGCTGAACTTTGCAACAATTTGAACGGGGGTGAGAAGCCTCCTGGCCAGAACCAGGGGAGGGTGAGAATCCGGTGTGCAGACTTCACAGGCAGAGGAAGAACTAGAGCCCTTTTGTTTCACAGCTGGGAGGCAAATAGCCTCAGGCAAATTTTCAAGCCCGTCTTGCCCTCTGCCTGGAAACAGACTCGGAGTTGTTGAGGTGGGCACAGTGGGAGTGAGACCAGCCCTTCAGTTTGTGTGAGAGCTGGGTGAGGCGTATGACTGCCGGCTTTCCCCCATTTTCCTGACAAACTGCATGACTCAGCAGAGGCAGCCATAATCCTCCTAGGTACACAACTCCAGTGACCTGGGAATCTTGCCCCCATCCCCCACATCAGCCACAGCAAGACCTGCCCAAGGAGAGTCTGCACTCAGACACACCTAACCCCACCCTGATGGTCCTTCCCTATCCACCCTGGTAGTGGAAGACAAAGGGCATATAATCTTGGGAGTTCTAGGGCCCTGCCCACCGTCGGTCCCTCTCCACACTACTGCAGCTGACGGTTTCTGGAAAACACCACCTACTGGCAGGAGGCCAATCAGCACAAAAATAGAGCATTAAGCCACCAAAGCTAAGGACTCTCATGGAGTCCATTGCACCCTCCGCCACCTCCACTGGAACAGGCACTGTATCTATGGCTGAGAGACCCATAGACAGTTCACATCACAGGACTCTGTGCAGACAACCCCAGTACCAGCCTGTGGCTGGATAGACTTACTGGGTGACTAGACCTAGAAGAGAGACAACAATCACTGCAGTTTGGCTCACAGGAAGCCACATCCACAAGAACAGGGGGAAAGTACTACAACAAGGGAACACACCGTGGGACAAAAGAATCTGAACAACAGTCTTCAGCCCTAGATCTTCTCTCTGACAGAGCCTACCCAAATGAGAAGGAACCAGAAAAACAACCCTCATAATATGACAAAACGAGGCTCTTCAACACCCCCCAAAAATTACACTAGTTCACCAGCAATGGATCCAAACCAAGAAGAAATCCCTGATTTACCTGAAAAAGAATTCAGGAGATTAGTTATTAAGCTAATCAGGGAGGGACCACAGAAAGGCAAAGCCCAATGCAAGGAAATCCAAAACATGATACAAGAAGGGAAGGGAGAAATATTCATGGAAATACATAGCTTAAAGGAAAAACAATAAAAAATTCAGGAAACCTTGGACACACTTTTAAAAATGCAAAATTCCCTGGAAAGTCTCAGCAATAGAATTGAATAAGTAGAAGAAGAAAATTCAGAGCTCAAAGACAAGGTCTTCAAATTAACCCAATCCAACAAAGACAAAGAAAAACTAATAAGAAAATATAAACAAAGCCTTCCAGAAGTCTGGGATTATGTTAAACGACCAAACCTAAGAATAATCAGTGAACCTGAGGAAGAAGAGAATTCTAAAAGCCTGAAAAACATATTTGGGAAAATAATCAAGGAAAACTTCCCTGGCCTTGCAAGAAACCTAAACAACCAAATACAAGAAGCACAAAAAACACCCGGGAAATTCATCACAAAAAGATCTTCACCTAGGCACATTGTCATCAGGTTATCCAAAATTAAGAAGAAGGAAAGAATCTTAAGAGCTGTGAGACAGAAGCACCAGGTAACTTATGAAGGAAAACCTATAAGATTAACAGCAGATTTCTCAGCAGAAACCCTACAAGCTGGAAGGGATTGGGGATCTATCTTCAGCCTCCTCAAACAAAACAATTATCAACCAAGAATTTTGTATCCAGTGAAACTAAGCATCATACATGAAGGAAAGATACAGTCATTTTCTTTTTCTTTTTTTTTTTTTTGAGACGGAGTCTCGCTCTGTCGCCCAGGCTGGAGCACAGTGGCACGGTCTTGGCTCACTGCAAGCTCTGCCTCCCAGGTTCACACCATTCTCCTGCCTCAGCCTCCCGACTAGCTGGGACTACAGGCGCCTGCCACCACGCCTGGCTAATTTTTTGTATTTTTAGTAGAGACGGGGTTTCACCGTGTTAGCCAGGGTGGTCTCGATCTCCTGACCTCATGATCCACCCACCTTGGCCTCCCAAAGTGTTGGGACTACAGGTGTGAGCCACCGTGCCCGGCCAAGATACAGTCATTTTCACACAAACAAATGTTGAGAGAATTCGCCATTACCAAATCACCACTACAACAACTGCCAAAAGTAGCTCTAAATCTTGAAACAAATCCTGGAAACACATCAAAACAGAACTTCTTTAAAGCATAAATCATACAGGACCTATAAAACAAAAATACAAGTTAAAAAGCAAAAACAAAAAACAAAACCAAAGTACATAGGCAACAAAGAGTACAGTGAAAGCAATGGTACCTCACATTTCAATACTAATATTGAATGTAAATGGCCTAAGTGCTCCACTTAAAAGACACAGAACCACAGAATGGATAAGAATTCACCAACCAACCATCTGCTGCCTTCAGGAGACTCACCTAACACATAAAAACTCACATAAACTTAAAGTAAAGGGGTGGAAAAAGACATTTCATGCAAATGGACATCAAAAAGCAAGCAGAGGTAGCTATTCTCATATCAGACAAAACAAACTTAAAAGCAACAGCAGTTAAAGGAGACAAAGAGGTACAGTATATAATGGTAAAAGGCCTTGTCCAACAGAAAAATATTACAATCCTAAGTAGGATACACATTCTATTCAACAGTGCATGGAACTTTCTCCAAGATAAACCATACGATAAGCCATAAAACGAGCCTCAATAAATTTAAGAAAATTGAAATTATATCAAGCACTCTCTCAGACAACAGTGGAATAAAACTGGAAAGCAACTTCAAAAAAAAAAAAAACCATGCAAATACATGGAAATTAAATAACGTGCTCCTGAATGAGCATTGGGTCAAAAATGAAATTAAGATGGAAATTTAAAAATTATTCAAACTGAATGACAATAATGACACAGCTTATCAAAGCCTCTAGGATACAGCAAAGGTGGTGCTAAGAGGAAAGTTTTTGGGCCTAAATGCCTACATCAAAAAGCCTGAAAGAGCACAAACAGACAATCTAGGGTCACATGTCAAGGAACTACAGAAACAAGAGCAAACCAAACCCAGCAGAAGAAAGGAAATAACCAAGATTGGAGCAGAACTAAATGAAATTGAAACAAAAAAAAAATACAAAGGTAAATGAAACAAAAAATTGGTTCTTTGGAAAGATAAATGAAATTGTTAGACCACTAGCAAGATTAATCAAGAAAAGAAGAGAGAAAAATCTATCAGGGGAAATTCAGCCAGATATACGGCGAAATTCACCCCCGATATTTCATGTAGTTTCTTTTCTATTTTCCCTAAGTGTCGGCCAGTCTGAGAAATAAAGGGAAAGAGTATAAAAGAGAGAAATTTTAAAGCTGGGTGTCCAGGGGAGACATCACATGTTGGCAGGTTCTGTGATGCCCCACAAGCTGCAAAACCAGCAAGTTTTTATTAGTGATTTTCAAAAGGGGAGGGAGTGTACAAATAGGGTGTGGGTCACAGACATCATGTGCTTCACAAGGTAATAGAATATCACAAGGCAAATGGAGGAGGGCGAGATCACAGGGCCACAGGACCAGGGCGAAATTAAAATTGCTAATGAAGTTTTGGGCATGCATTGTCATTGATAACATCTTATCAGGAGACAGGGTTTGAGAGCAGACAACCAGTCTGACCAAAATTTATTAGGCGTGAATTTCCTCGTCCTAATAAGCCTGGGAGCGCTACAGGAGACTGGGGCTTATTTCATCCCTACAGCTTCGACCATAAAAGATGCCGCCCCCCAAAGCGGCCATTTTAGAGGCCTACCCTCAGGGACGCATTCTCTTTCTCAGGGATGTTCCTTGCTGAGAAGAAGAATTCTGAGATATTTCTCCCATTTGCTTTTGAAAGAAGAGAAATATGGCTCTGTTCCGCCTGGCTCACTGGCGGTCAGAGTTTAAGGTTATCTCTCTTGTTCCCTGAACATTGCTGTTATCCTGTTCTTTTTTCAAGGTGCCCAGGTTTCATATTGTTCAAACACACATGCTCTACAAACAATTTGTGCAGTTAACGCAATCATCACAGGGTCCTGAGGCAACATACATCCTCCTTATCTTATGAAGATGATGGGATTAAGAGATTAAAGTAAAGACAGGCATAGGAAATCACAAGGGTATTGACTGGGGAAGTGATAAGTGTCCATGAAATCTTCACAATTTATGTTCAGAGACTGTAGTAAAGACAGGTGTAAGAAATTATAAAAGTATTAATTTGGGGAACTAATAAATGTCCATGAAATCTTCACAATCCACATTCTTCTGCCATGGCTTCAGCCAGTCCCTCTGTTCGGGGTCCCTGACTTCCCACAACAAAAATCCAAATAACCTCACTAAGAAATGAAACAGGAGATATTACAACTGACAATACTGAAATACAAAAGATCATTCAAGGCTACTATGAACATCTTTACGCACATAAACTAGAAAACCTAGAAGAGATGGATAAATTCCTGGAAAAATACAACCCTCCTAGCTTAAACCAGGAAGAATTAAATACCCTGAACAGACCAATAACAAGCAGTGAGATTGAAATGGTAATTAAAAAATTACCAACAAAAAAAAAGTCCAGGCCCGGTTGGATTCACAGCAGAATTCTACCAGACGTTCAAAGAATTGGTACCAATCCTTTTGATACTATTCTACAAGATAGAGAAAGAAGGAACCCTCCCTAATTCATCCTATAAAGTCAGCACAACCCTAATACTAAAACCAGGAAAGGACATAATCAAAAAAGAAAACTACAGACCAATATCCTTGATGAACATAGATGCTAAAATCCTTAACAAAATGCTAGCTAACCAAATCCAACAACATATCAAAAAGATAATTCACCATGATCAAGTGGGTTTCATACCAGGGAGGCAGGGATGGTTTAACACATGCAAGTCAATAAATGTGATACATCACGCAAACAGAATTAAAAATAAAAGTCACATGATCATCTCAGTAGATGCAGAAAAAGCATTTGGCAAAATCCAGCATCTCTTTATGATTAAAACCCTCAGCAAAATCAGCAAACCAGGGACATACCTTAATGTAATAAAAGCCATCTATGACAAACTCACAGCCAACATAATACTGAATAGGGAAAAGATGAAAATATTCCTGCTGAGAACTGGAACAGGACAAGGATACCCACTCTCACCACTCTTCTTCAACATAGTACTGGAAGTCCTAGCCAGAGCAATCAGACAAGAGAAAGAAATAAAGGACCTCCAAATTAGTAAAGAGGAAGTCAAACTGTCACTGTTTGTTGACAATATGATCGTTTACCTTGAAAACGCGAAGGACTCCTCTAGAAAGCTTCTAGAACTGATAAAAGAACTCATCAAAGTTTGTGGATACAAGATTAATGTACACAAATCAGTAGCTCTTCTATACACCAACAGCAACCAAGCAGAGAATCAAATCAAGAACGCAACCCCTTTTACAATAGCTGCAAAAATAAAATAAAATACTTAGGAATATACCTAACAAAGGAGTCGAAAGACCTCTGCAAGGAAAACTACAAAACACTTCTGAAAGAAATCCTAGATGACACAAACAAATGGAAACACATCCCGTGCTCATGGATGGGTAGAATCAATATTGTGAAAATGATCATCCTGCCAAAAGCAATCTACAAATTCAACACCATCCCCATCAGAATACCACCATCATTCTTCACAGAATTACAAAAAACAATTCTAAAATTCATATGGCACCAAAAAAGAGCCTGCATAGCCAAACTGAGACTAAGCAAAAAGAACAAATCTGGAGGCATCACACTACCTGATTTCAAACTATACTATAAGGCCATAGTCACCAAAACAGTGTGGTACCGGTATAAAAGTAGGCACATAGACCAATGGAACAGAATAGAGAACACAGAAATAAACCCAAATATTTACAGCCAACTGATCTTCGATAAACCAAACAATAATGTAAAGATCCTCATCTCTCACCTTATACAGAAATCAACTCAAGATGAATTAAGGACTTAAACCTAAGACATGAAACTATAAAAATTCTGGAACATAACATTGGAAAAACCCTTCTAGACATTGACTTAGGCAAGGATTTCATGACCAAGAACCCAAAAGCGAATGCAATAAAAACAAAGATAAATAGCTGGGACCTAATTAAACTAAAGAGCTTTTACACAGCAAAAGGAAGTCAGCAGGGTAAACATACAACTCACAGAGTGGGAGAAAATTTTCAGAATCTATACATCTGACAAAGGACTAATATCCAGAATCTACAATGAACTCAAACAAATCAGTAAGAAAAAAAAAATCCCATTGAAAAGTGGGCTAAGGACATGAATAGACAATTCTCAAAAGATATACAAATGGCCAACAAACATGAAAAAATGCTCAACATCACTAATGATCAGGAAAATGCAAATCAAAACCACAATGAGATACCACCTCACTCCTGCAAGAATGGCCATAATAAAAAACACAGTAGTGTTGGCATGGATGCAGTGAAGAGGGAACACTTCTACACTGCTGCGGGGAATGTAAACTAGTACAACCACTGTGGAAAACAGTGTGGACATTCCTTAAAGAACTAAAAGTAGAATTACCATTTGATCCAGCAATCCCACTACTGGGAATCCACCCAGAGGAAAAGAAGTCATTATTCGAAAAAGATACTTGCACATGCATGTTTATAGTAGCACAATTCACAATTGTGAAATCATGGCACCAACCCAAATGCCCAATAATCAATGAGTGGATAAAGAAGCTGTGGTATGGCCTGGTGTGGTGGCTCACACCTATAATCCCAGCACTTTGGGAGGCCGAGGCGAGCAGATCACGAGGTCAGGAGTTCGAGACCAGCCTGGTCAACATAGTGAAATCCTGTCTCTACTAAAAATACAAAAAAAAAGAAAAAAAAATTAGCTGGCATGGTGGTGGGCGCCTGTAATCCCAGCCACTCGGGAGGCTGAGGCAGGAGAATTGCTTGAACCTGGGAGGCAGAGGTTGCAGTGAGCCAAGATCACACCACTGCACTCCAGACTGGGTGACAGTGCAAGACTCAGTCTCAAAAAAAAAAAAAAAAGAAACTGTGGTATATATATGCAATGGAATACTACGCAGCCATAAAAAGGAATGAATTAACAGCATTTGCAGTGACCTGGATGAGATTAAAGACTATTATTCTAAGTGATGTAACTCAGGATTGGAAAACCAAACACTCTATGTTCTCACTGATATGTGGGGGATATAAGTTATGAGGATGCAAAGGCATAAGAATGATACAATGGACTTTGGGGGCTAGGGGGGAAGAGTGGGTGGGAGGCTAGGGATAAAAGACTCAAATATGGTGCAGTGTATACTGCTTGGGTGATGGGTACCCCATAATCTCACAAATCACCACTAAAGAACTTACTCATGTAACCAAATACCACCTGTACCCTAATAACTTAATGGAAAAATAAAATAAAATAAATATAACAAAAGAAAGATAATGTGAGTTTAAAGAGGATGCCAATCTCTGAGACTCTAGTTCTGGGTTTTAAGAATGACAATGCAGATGCAAGTAGACTGCCACTTTGCATTGTGGAAAAGGGGAGGCTCCATGGGGACCCAGATGAACTGAATATCTTTTCTCATATCAAAAATCACTTTTTCATTATATTTGAACTTGGCAACAATCTAGTTCTAAACTTAATTGCTGTCTTTAAAAATTTCAGGCATTAGCTGGGTGCGGTGGCTCACACCTGTAATCCCAGCACTTTGGGAGGCTGGGGCAGGTGGATCACTTGAGTTCAGGAGTTTGAGACCATCCTGGCCAACGTGGTGAAACCCCATCTCTATTAAAATTACCAAAATTAGCCGGGCATGGTGGCAGGCGCCTGTAATCCCAGCTACTTGGGAGGCTGAGGCAGGACAATCGCTTGAACCCAGGAGGCGGAGGTTGCAGTGAGCCGAGATCGCACCACTGCACTCCAGCCTGGGCAACACAGTGAGACTCTGTCTCAAAAAAAAAAAAAAAAAAAAAAAAAAAAAAAAGGCCGGGTGCGTTGGCTCACGCCTGTAATCCCAGCACTTTGGGAGGTTGAGGCAGGCAGATCACGAGGTCAGGAGTTCAAGACCAGCCTGACCAACATGGTGAAACCCCCGTCTCTACTAAAAATCAAAAAATTAGCCGGGTGTGGTGGCATGTGCCTGTAATCCCAGCTACTCAGGAGGCTGAGGCAGGAGAATCACTTGAACCTGGGAGGCAGAGGTTGCAGTGAGCTTAGATCGTGCCACTGCACTACAGCCTGGCGACAGAGCGAGACTCCATCTTGAAAAAAAAATACAGGCATTGTAATGTCAAATTCAAAATTATATATATTCTTTCTTGGAAATTATCTGCAATACAAAAAAATCCAGCCAGAAAAAAAATACAGTTCAGAAAAAAAATGAATGGTTAATAAATATCTGATAAAGTGCTAGATCACATTTTTGATTAAATAAAAACATATTAAAATAACAATGTTATGTCATGTTTTACTGCCAGATTGGCAAAGATTAAAAACACTCTCCGACACATGCTGCTGGTAAGAGCACAGGTTGGCACAAGCATTTTGGATGGCATTCTCATAGTATTTATCCAAATTTCAAATACACCTGCTCTTTGACCCAGCAATTCCATTTCTATAAATTTACCGTACAGATATATCACATAAGCATGCAAGAACATATATTACAAAGTTATTTATTATAGCAGTATTTGTAATAGTGAAAATCTAAAATCATTTTAATTGTAGTCCAGAGACAATGAAATATATTACAGTGTTTCATACTGTGAAATATCTACTTGGCATCAACAGATTGTTAAGTAGAGAATGCTAGTTACAAGATTTTGTGTGTGTGTGTGTGTGTGTGTGTGTACCATAAGTCAATTTGTGGGGAAATATTGTACATGCCTAAACATCTGTAATGATACATATGAAATTGTTGTGACTCCTGGGAGTGGAATTTAAATGAGAAGAAAAAAAACAGGACAATTTCTTTTTATTCTCAACTATTTCTATTTATACAAACATACACTACTTTTATAATAAAATATTTTTAATTCAGTCACAATTTTGCATTACTACACAATCTGTAAAACAATCTAAAATACAATTAAACTCTACTGTAAAATTAACTGGTAATTAAAGCTTACATGTCACTGTGGGTGGTATTTTAAGATGACAATGAATTGAGGTACAAAAGTAGCACAGATAAAAGTCTAGAAAAGTGAAATTTAGGCCGGGCATGGTGGCTTATACCTATAATCCCAGAACTTTAGGAGGCTGAGGTGGGAGGTTAGCTTGAGCCCAGGAGTTCAAGGGTAGCTCGGCTACATAGGGAGAGCCCGTCTCCACAAAAATTTTTAAAAATTAGTTGGGTGTGGAGGTGCATACCTGTAGTCCCAGCTACTCGGGAGGTTGAGGTGGAAGGATTGCTTCAGCCCAGGAGGTTGAGGATGTAGTGAGCCGAGATCGTACTGTTGCACTCCACCTGGGTGACAGAACGAGACCCTGTCTCAAAAAAAAAGTGAAATGTAAAGCTTGGTCACTTTTTATCTATATAGATAATACAAGTAGTAATGTAAATGAACTACTAAACTCAGTTTTATATTATGAGATAAGGTTTACCGTATGTGATTATATATGTGTGTGTGTGTGTGTGTGTGTGTGTACGTATATCTATTTTTTTTTTTCTTGAGACAGGATCTCACTCTGTCACCCAGGCTAGTAGCACAATCTCGGCTAACTGAAACCTCTCTCTCCTACTGGGCTGAAGCAATCCTCCCACCTCAGCCTCCCCAGTAGCTGGGACTACAGGCATGCGGCACCATGCCCAGCCATTTTTTCTTTTTCTTTTTTTGTATTTTTAGTAGAGACGGAGTTTTGCCATGTTGTCCAAGCTGGTCTCGAACTCCTGAGTTGAGGCGATAAACCTGCCTTGGCCTCTCACAGTACTGGGATTACAGGCGTGAGCTACCGAGCCCAGCCTGAAATTTATTTTTAAAAGCCAACAGTGAAGCTACTTCTATACCTTGTCTCCAATTCCATATATTCTCCTATTGTTCTTCTATTGCCATCTTTGAAAGGACAGTAGAAGCTATTTTGCAGGGCCAGGGCTATGGAATTTTCCCCACTTCCTGTCTCTGCCCTACAGAAAGCTGGGTCATTTGGAGTAATGGACAGGGGTCTTGGTACTATGTATGCTGTGTGTACAGAGGAAAACATTACGTGTTATAGTGGGGGCAGTTGTACTTCTCCTGCATTGGAAGCAGGGAAATAAGGGGAGTATAAGTTGTATAGGGGCCAAGGAAAAGCTTCCCCTTTACCCTCCTGAAATTTCACTAAAACTTAACTCACAAAAGGCAGATTAGTTGGAGAAAAGGCATACAAATTTATTAACATACACAGGGTGGAGAAACACAGAGTGATTATTCCCAATCCTCAATGGGGTGCAGAAGCTTATATACCATCTTGAGGTTACAGAAAGAATGAGGGCTCAGAGCATGATCAAAAACAGGCTGTGATGGCAAACCAGGTTATGGTGGCTAGACAGGTTATGGGAGGGAAAGAAGAGGAGGCTTGGCCAGCAAAGGTGGTCTTGCTACGTAGATGAAACCTCACAGGTAACAGCCCTCAGAGAGGGTAAATGATGCTAAATATTTCTTCCAGACTTTTAAAGGTGTCAGACTCTCCATTAATCCTTCCTAGATCTGAACAAGGGAAGGCCCGGCTACATCAATGCAGATTCTCTACAGATGCAAATCTGCCCTGCAGAAGACAGCTTAACTACTTCTGTTTGTTGGCCCTCTGAACAGCCATCTCAAAATATGTCAAAGAAATATATATATATATGTGCCAGAAGATGCTTAGACATCCTGAAGTTTCTTTAGGTATTAAAGTCTTCTGAGGTTGAAGCGGGGCTAATGACTCAGGAAAGAAGATGGTATAGAAGCCATAACATACAGAATATTATATATGTATAATATATATAGACATATATAATATATAAGTGTATACATATTATATATAAGTATATTTATAATATATGTAAGTATATATAATATATAAGTATATATAGATATACATATAGATATAGATATATATGTTTTTGAGACGGAGTCTCACTCTGACACCCAGTTTGGAGTGCAGTGGTGTGATCTCAGCTCACTGCACCTGTAACATCCCGGGTTCAAGTGATTTTCCTGCCTTAGCCTCCAGAGTAGCTGGAATTACAGGTGTGCGCCACTACACCAGCTAATTTTTGTATTTTTACAAAAATATTTCTTCCAGACTTGGTTTCCCCATGTTGGCCAGGCTGGTCTCGAACTTCTGATATCAAGTGATCCACCCGCCTCAGCCTCCCAAAGTGCTGGGATTACAGGTGTGAGCCACCATGCCCAGTCGAGAAATGTATTCTGAGGTAAAATATTTTTATTTCTTTTCCTTGCTAGATTTTGCCTATGACTAGAAGAATAAACTAAGTGTCCTCTGCTATATCCCTAAAAGGGTATTGGATACAGAACACAGGAAAGAAGATGCTGGAAATGCTGAGATAACTGAGGAAGGATCTCTGGACCAACCATATCAAGGCCCTGCAAATAACTGGGTATAGCAGTTGTTGGTTTCCATGTCTGTCTTCCTACCAAGCTAAAAGCTCCTGGGATACAATTATTGCAGTGATTGCCACATAGTAGGTTCTTATTAAATACAGATTTGGTTAAATGGATGGATCAATAGATGAGTGACAGAAGAAAGACTCCTTAGAGACTTGTACAAACTCCCTAAATGAAGGGAGAGGATAAAATATTCAGGTGACATGAATCAGAGGGAATAGCAGAAAACCATGCTGGGGAGAATAAGAATGGGAATCTTGAGCTGTCTCAATGTATGGTACACTGAGCGGGGCCTTATATACTTGGCTAACATAGGATAACCTAGAGAAATACGTAACTGTAGAATTCACATAACTCAAAGCCAAGATGGGGTGCCTCTAGATTTCCTCCAAAGAGAGGGAATTCTATTATTCCTGGTTGAGGAGGACTTTGGAGAGTTTGCATAAAATAACTCATGTCATTTGCCTGCTCAGAATATATTATTCCCTACCAATTCTATACCATCTTCTTTCCTGAGCCATGAGCCCCACTTCAAGCCCAGAAGACTTTAATACCTAAAGAAACTTCAGTATATCTAAGCACCTTCTGGCACACTCAGGAGCAGAGTTGCTGCTGTTGCCACTATAACAAATACCAATACTCTTATCACCTCTATTATCATGAACACCATAACCACTACCATTAGATGAGAGTGAAACCATCCAACAGTAAATGAGAATCCTAAAACTTGTCTGGGATCTTGGCCAATCAGAATGGTATCTCTTCCTTTCTTGCTTTGGGTATTAAATAGGAGGAGGAGAGCAGAAGAGAGACAGAATTTTCCCTTTAGTTATATCCATATCTATAGATCTATGTTTATATTACTAAAAGTATATTAGGGAAGTTTCAAGAATTGGGAAAAGAACTTTAAAGAAGACCCAAGAGATTGTAGGGCTTCAGAAATTCAAGCTGGGATTCAATATCTCTAGGATTTTCTCTCTCACCCTCTCATGTTTGCTTACTTCTGCTTGACTTCATTCTCTCCTATAACAGATGGGCTTTTTCCACTGATAGAAAACCTACCTGCCAGCAGCTTGGGCTTATATCATCCCAGTCATTTTTTCCAAAAAAGAGTATATATTCTCAGCTTCATTTTGAAGATTTCCAGGGAAAATTTTCTGAGTGACTTGTTATGTACTTATCCCTGGACCAATCATTATGATCAAAAGTATGGTTTACTTTGGAGTGGGCAGCCTATATAGCAAGTCCACTCTTAGGCCAGGGAGTGAAGTCTTATGATTGGCAGCTCCACGAAAACCACGTGGGATGCGTGTTGGGGGCGATGATGCCCTTCTCCTGAAGGAAGGGAAAGAAAAAAAATGCTTCAGATGTCCATAAAAATAGACAAAAAAGAGATAGATAGGCAGGTAGGTAGATATATAGATGATAGACAGAGGAAGCAGGTTAATAAGATAACTATATAGCTGACAAAGAGATGTGTTAGTGCTCATTATAGGGTTTAATATTCTTTTTTTAAGATTTATTTTTGCTATCTCTCCTATTCATTTTTTCAAATATATTATAAAGTTGTTGTCATAAACCAAAGAAATAGAAAAACCTGTTTACATCTTAATTAGAATTTATGACATCCAGGAGTAATTAGGAAAGAACAGACATTTTCATAATATTAGACTTCCTGTCCAAATGTACAGCATAGCTTTATAGCTTTTCACTCATTCGGTCTTTTTCAATATCCCAAAAAGTTTTTGTAGATCTTCTATGTAATATAAGTGAGAGATTATTCGCATAATAACTAGGACCAAAACAGTCTTTGATTAGAAAAATACCTCAATAAGGTAGAGGTAGGGCCTCTACACAGTGTTGTTCAGTCTGTGCACTGCACAACGCTTGGTGCACCATTTACATGGGCTACAACGTAAACAAGTCCTCTGGAGTTATGCACTGAAGCCACTCTGGGAGGAAGATGAAACTGTTCCCAGGAACCAAAGCAATGAGAAGGGAGGCTAAGTTGCTCTGTATGAGAACATCAGAAAAGTTTGCTTTATTTCTTAAATGAGAACAGAAGAGAAAAAATAATCAGAAAGATGGTAAAGCCAAAAGAGAAGCTTGTGTGATGGTGGAAGGATGAGTGGCACATGGGTGAAGTGGACAGTGATAAAACTTTGGTGGAATGAACAAGAGACTTTTTATAACAAGAATGTTCTACAATTCATTTTCAGTTATTTGAAATCATCAGTAAAATTTCTGCTACTTGGTACAGTTTTTTATTCAAGATTAATTTCGGAAGGGAGAAGGGAACAGAAAGCATGGGTTATAACCCAGCTTGTGCCAAGCTGAGATAAAGGAATACACAAAATCATGCAGAGAATAGAACAAAAATTCAGGGCCTGCGAATGAGAATTTGAGCCAATCATATCTGAAACTCAGTATTCCAGGGTAGGGGGACCCCTGCTGATACCTAAATTGAATTTATAATGACTTTATACCACTCTTGGGAGGATTCTGTAAATTACTTTGTGTTTTTTTTCTTGCCCTTATAAATGGGACCTTATTTTCTATAATATTTTTCTGCCAGTTCTTGCAGATTCCAGAAGTCTATCTGTCAGTCTATGTCTCTCTCTTTCATTCTCTTGCGCTCTCTCTCTCTCTCTATCTATCTATCTATCTATCATCTATCTATCTATCTATCTATCTATCATCTATCTATCTATCTATCTATCTATCTATCTATCTATGTATATTACATGAACATATAAGCATATATGAAATATAAATAGATGGTCTGGCTTTTATCTGATATGATTCCCCTCTAGACCAAATAATTTCTTTTAGCATTGCTTGTAGTTTAAGTCAACTGCCAACAAATTCTCTCTTTTTATTTGAAAATGTCTTTATTTTGTTTTGTTTTATATTATTATTTTATTTTATTTTATTTTATTTTTTGAGGTAGGATCTCACTCTGTTGCCCAGGCTTGAGTGCAGTGGTGCAATCTTGGCTCACTGCAACCACTGCCTCCCGAGTTTAAGCGATTCTCCTGCCTCAGCCTTCCGAGTAACTGGGATCACAGATGTGCACCACCACGCCTGACTAATTATTGTATTTTAGTATAGATGGGGTTTCACCATGTTGGCCAGGCTGGTCTCCAACTCCTGGCATCAAGTGATCTACCCTCCTCAGCCTCCCAAAATGCTGGGATTACAGGTGTGAGCCACCATGCCCGACCTTGTTTTACTTTTTAGAGATATTTTGGTGTATTCTCGGTTGACTTTTTTTCTTTCTGCATTTTATGTATTTATTTATTTATTTATTTATTTTTGAGACAGAGTCTCACTCTGTCACCCAGGCTGGAGTGCAGTGCCAAGATCTTGGCTCACTGCAACCTCCACTTACCAGGTTCAAGCATTTCTCCTGCCTCAGCCTCCCAAGCAGCTGGGACTACAGGCCTGTGCCACCACTCCAGGCTAATTTTTTGTATTTGTAGTAGAGATGAGGTTTCACCATGTTGGGCAGGCTGGTCTCGAACTCCTGAACTCAGGTGATCCGCCTTGGCCTCCCAAAGTGCTGGGGTTACAGGTGTAAGCTGCCACGCCCAGCCTCTTTCTACACTTTAAAGATATTATAGTTTGACTATAATATACATATGTGTGTTTTCTTTGTGTTTGTCTTGCCTGTGGTTGGTTAAGCTTCTTGATATAAGATGATATCTTTCAAAATTTTTGAGAAGTCATTGGAAATTCTTACACTCCTTCATCTATCCTTCTTGGGCTCCAATTACATGTTTTAGAGCATCGATATTGTTCCAAAAGTCTTGGATATTATAGTCTTTATTTTAATCTTTTTTCCTTTTTGTGTTTTAATTTGGTAATGTCTATTATCTATTGACCCAAATGGCTTCAAGTTCAGTGATCCTTTCTTTGGCCTATTAACAATCCTTGATATTATTGTGTCAAGACTGCTGTTAAGCCCATGGAATGAATTCTTTGATATCGTATTTTTTATTTCTAGCATTTCATTTGATTTTTTTTTTAGTTTTCATTTATCTGCTGAAATCTCCAGTTCACATATTGTCAATTTTTTTCATTTTATAGATAATTATACAAACACACACACACACACATCTTGTATCTTATATCTGGTATGCATGTAAGTATCTAATCTGTGTATCAGAGGCCTCTCTGGGATTTTTTGTTCTTGTTTTTTTGAATTTTTCAAGACTTGTTTTATGGCCTAACATATGATCTGTCCTTAAGAATGATCCAAGTCAGGCATGCTGGCTCACATCTACAATTCTAGCACTTTGGGAGGCTGAGGCAGGAGATCACTTGAGCCCAGGAGTTTGAGACCAGCCCAGGCAACAAAGTGAGATGCTATGTCTACAAAAATAAAATAATGGACATGGTGGCATGTACCTGTAGTCTCAGCTGCTTGGGAGGCTGAGGTGGGAAGATGGCTTGAGTCTGGGAGATAGAGGCTGCAGTGAGCTATGATTGTGCTGTTGCACTCCAGCTTGGGCAACAGAGCAAGACCCTGTGTCAAAATAAAAGAAAATGGTCCATGTACTGAGGAGAAGAATTTGTATTCTGTATCCATTGGATGAAATGTTCTGTAAATATATTTTAGGTTCATTTGTTCTATAGGGCTGATTAAGTCCTATGTTTATTTGTTGATTTTCTGTCTGGATGATCTACCCAATGCTGAAAGTAAGGTGTTCAAATCTCCAACTATTATTGTATTGGAATGTATCTCTCTCTTTAGTGCTCATAATATTTCCTTTATATATCTGGATGCTCCAGTGTTGAGTGTATGTATATATATATATATATATATATATATATATATATATATATATATATATATACACACACACACATATATATATACACACATATATATATATACACACACACATATATATACATATATATATACACACACATATATACACACACACATATATATACACACATATATATACACACACATATATATACACATATATATATATTTACAATTGTTATATGCTCTTGCTGAATTGACTCCTTTATCATTATATAGTGATCTCTTTGTCTCTTCTTACAGTTTTTGTCTTGAAATCTATTTTGTCTGATATAAGTATAGTTACTCCTGCTCTTTTCTTGGTTTCCACTGACATGGGATATCTTTTTCTGTTCCTTTATTTTCAGTCTATGTGTGTCTTAATAGGTGAAGTGTGTTTCTTATAGGCAACAGATCATTGGGTCTTGTTGGTTTTTTTTTAACCATTTATCCACTGTATGTCTTTTGATTAGAGAATTTAGTCCATTTATAGTCAAAGTTATTATTGATAAGACTTACTCCTGCCATTTTGTTATTTGCTTTCTGGTTTTCTTTCCCTCCCTCCCTCCCTCCCTCCCTCCCTCCCTTCCTTCCTTCTTTTCTTCTTCCTTTCTGTGAAAGCAGTTTTCTCTGGTGGCATGTTTTAATTTCTTGTTTTTTATTTTTTTGTGTACTTATTGTAGTATTTTTTTCAATTTGAAAGTAGTCATTATTTATTAACTAATCAGATTACAAACATAAGCATGATAGTCACCTTAATTCATCTTTATAATAAACTTGTTGGTCTGGTCTTCTCTGTGGCCAGTATCTCCACCTTCTATGAAATGGGTGGTCTTTTTCGTCATTCCAGCTCATGGAGAGTATAATTTGAAAGGCCACAGAAAGTTATTTGCTTCTTGGAAGCATTTTCCAATAGCATCGATCTCATGAATCAGATCCTCCATGCAGATGATGCCATATTTACCAAAATATCAAGCAATCAAAGTGTTATCTGTCAAGACAGCCCACTTATTGAATGTGCCATGACCACACTTGTAGATTGCTGACATCTACTGACTTCCTTACTGTTCACTTACTGACTTCAGGTTTGGGTAATATATGGTCCTACCATCCTCAGCATATTAATTGAAACCTTGTTAAGCTTAGCAACGCTTCCATTGAAAATATGAAGAAGGTGAAGAAGCTGCAATGCTTTTCAGACCTTTGGGCTCACACCATTGATACCTCTAATCCTGCTGACAAATGCCAATTTGGGCTTTGCAGGAACATAGAAGTTGCTAGCTTTTCTTGTCATCCTAGCCATTCAAATCTCAGTTCTGTACATTTGCCTATATTCCTTGTGATAGTACTTAGCTTTTTCATAGATGAGCTTCCTCCTTGCCTTTCAGTGCATCTTTTGGGCAAACTTCTTTCTCAGGTGCTTTATCTTCAGCTCTGCAAAATTCCTTCACTTTTTTTTGAGGGGATTCTAACACAGCAGGAAACTTCTTCTTCTCTTTGATATCCTCCATGGTTCCAGCAGGAAAACTGGTAGGTTTTCTTATTTGAGGTTACCATGAGGCTTGCAAATAACATCTTATAACCCATTATTTTACACTGGTGACAAGTTAACTGTGATTGCAAAAACAAACTAACAAGCAAAGAGAAAACTAATAAAAGCTCTACACTTTAACTTCATCCTTCCCTGCTTTTTAACTTTTTGTTGTTTCTATTTATATCTTATTATATTGTCTATGTCTTAAAAAGTTGTAGTTATTATTTTTATAGGTTCATCCCGTAGTCTTTCTACTCAAGATATGAGTAGTTTATACACCACAATTACAGTGTTATAATATTCTGTGTTATTTTGTGTACTTACTATTACCAGTGAATTTTGTTCCTTCATGATTTATTATTCCTCATTAACATCTTTTTCTTTCAGATTAAAGAACTCCCTTTAACATTTCTTGTAGGTCAGGTCTGGTGTTGATGAAATTCCTCAGCTTTTGTTTGTCTGGGAAAGTCTAGTTCTCCTTCGTGTTTGAAGGATATGTTCGCTAGATATCCTATTCTAGGATAACATTTTTTTTTCTTCATCACTTTAAATGTGTCATGCCACTCTCTTCTGGCCTGCAAGATTTCCACTGAGAAGTCTGCTGCCAGATACATTGAAGCTCCTTCATATGTTATTTGTTTGTTTTCTCTTTTGAGATGCTTTTAGGATCCTTTCTTTCTCCTTGACCTTTGAGAGTTTGATTGTTAAATGTCTTCAGTTAGTCTTATTTGGGTTAAATCTGTTTGGTGTTCTACAACCTTCTTGTACTGAATATTGATATCTTTCTCTAGGTTTGGAAAGTTCTCTGTTATCTCTTTGAATAAATTTTCTACCCCAGTCTCTTTCTCTACCTCCTCTTTAAGGCCAATAACTCTTAGATTTGCCCTGTTGAGGGCAAATTAATTCCTTTTTATTTTTTTCTCCTCTCCCTGTGTATTTTCAAATAGCCTGTCTTCGAGCTTACTAATTCTTTCTTCTGCTTGATCCATTCTGCTGTTCAGAGACTGATGCAGTCTTCAGTTTGTTAATTCAATTTTTCAGCTCCAAAATTTCGCTTGATTTTTAAAAATTGTTTCAATCTTTTGTTATATTTACCTGATAGGATTCTGAATTCCTTCTGTGTTATCTTGAATTTCATTGCACTTACTCAAAACAGCTATTTTGAATTCTTTGTCTGAAAGGTCACATACCTCTGTCATTCCAGGATCAGTCACTGATGCCTTATTTAGTTTGTGTGGTGAGATCATGTTTTCTTGGACAGTCTTGATGCTTGTGGATGTTCATCACCGTCTGGGCATTGAAGAGCCAGGTATTTATTCTAATCTTCACAGTCTGGGCTTGTTTGCACCCATCCTTCTTGAGAAAGCTTTCCAAGTATTCAAAGGGAATTGAGTGCTGTGATCTAAGTCTTTGCCCACTGCAGCCATGTGTGCATTAGGGGGCAATGAAATCCAGTAACACTGTGATTCTTACAGACTCGTAGGGCTACTGCTTTGTTGGTCCTGGGTAATATCTGGGAAAATTCCCTGGATTACCAGTCAGAGTCTTTTGTTCTCTTTTACCTTTCCCCAAACAAATGGAATCTCTCTGTGTGTGTTGAGCTACCTGGAGTTAGGGGTGAAGTGACACAAGCACTGTGGCACCACCACTGGGACTGCGCTTGGTCATACCAGAAGCCAGCATGATACTGGGTCTTGGCTGAGGCCTGTGGCAACCATTGCCTGGCTACTGCTGTTTATTTCAGGCCCAAGGGCTCTTTATTCAGCAGGTGATGAACCCCGCCAGGACTGGATCTTTCCTTTCAGAGCAGCAGGTTCCCTTCTGGCCCAGGGTGGGTCTGAATATGTTGTCCAGGAGCTAAGGCCTGGAATGAGGGCCTTGGGACTCTTCTTGGTGCTTTATTTTACTGTGGCTGAGCTGGTATCCAAGTTGCAAGACAAAGTCCTCTTTACTCTCTTCTCTCTTTTCCTCAAGCAGAAGGAGTGTCTGCCAGAGCTGAGAGATGTGCTCCCTGAAATTGGGGGATGGGGATTGATGCAAGCACTCCCTTGGCTGCCCCAGCTCATGTCTCACTAAGTGGCATGCACCCCAAGTCCGCTGGCTCCAAGCCCAGCACAGCACCAGGACTTGCTCAATTATTGCAGTCCTGATGGCTTAGACTGCCTTTCAAGATTATTGAGGATGCTAGAGCACTTTGCCAGGCAATGGTGGCGCTAGCAAGTTCTGACTGCTGGGATAGATGATTTCCTCTGGCTAGGGCTGCTCTAAATGCTCCCTCCAGAGCACCAGCTGAATTCTGCCCTGTGTTGCTTTCTGCTGTGACAGGCAGCACTGAGTTCCAATGCAAAGTACCACACTCACTCTCCTCTCCCTCCCCTAGGCACATGAACTGTCTCTCTTTGCCGAGTGGCACTCCCGAGGGATGAGGGAGTAGTGGTGTTGGCAATTCAAGACTGTCTTTCCTACCCTCTTCAGTGCCTCCTTCCTTGATAAGATATTGAAACCAGGTACTGCAATCATGCGTTTGATTTTTGGTACTTATGATGGTGGTTTCTTGTGTGGATAGTTGTTCAATTTGGTTTTCCTGTTGGGGTAGGGGGCGAGAAATGCTGGAGGATTGTATTTGGCCATCTTGCTCCAAGAGGCCTCTCTGGTTGGCTTAGTTGAAGATGACAATTCACCTGCTATGCATGAGAAAGGGTAGCATTTACGTCCAAAGACATTCAATTGTATTGCCACGAGTGTAGAAAAGGTGCTTAAACTCAACTATAAGGAAAACATGTTATTTTCAAGTAAGCAAAATAAAGTCTTATTTCTTTTATCCGTTGTTTTCACCATGAGAGAATAGAGAGACATTTTGGTGTAGTGTTTAAACGGATATAGTTTGGATTCAGACAAACTGGAGTTGAATTTCTGGCTCTGCCACTTTGAAGCTCTGCAGTCTTGAACAAGTCGCATGTTTCTCTAAATCCCAGTTTCTTATCTGTAAAATGTGGATAATTATAAAAAATCTCCCCCATAGGGTTTCTGTGAGGTTTAAATGGGATCATACCCAGACAATGCAGTAGCTAGCACAGAGTGGCCATTCAGTTAATGCTATTTTCTTTCCCTTACACCCTGCCTCATCCTCATCCTCTTTCCTCCAGGCTGAAACTCAGAAGAATAGGGAATCAGTTTTCTCTTGATCACTGATGTATCTCTAACATTCATCTCGTCACAATTACTCAGTAAATATTTGCTAAAATAATAAATTAACAAATCTCTGAGTAAAGCAATTCAGAAAGCTGGGCTCTGCAGGGTTCAGACTTGCTTTAAGCCATATTTTCATTTTTCAAAAAATTTTATTTATTTATTTTTGTAGAGGCAGGGTCTCACTATGTTGCCCAGGCTGGTCTTGAGCTCTTGGCTTCAAGCAGTCCTCTTGCCTTGGCCTGCCAAATTGCTGGGATTACAGATGTGAGACACCACATACAGCTGAACAATATTTTCAGAAGCCGTACAGAAAAGGGAGTGTGTTACCAAATCCATTAGCCTTCAGAAGACTCTAAAAATGATAGTGAAATTCCTGGTTCATACACAGGCACTTCAAAGAAATTTTTCAAGGCTACAATGGAAGCAAATAAGAGGCAAATTAATTTTATTGACACATAGAAGTAGTATTTTTTTTTTTAACATTTCCTTCATTCATGAGAACAGAGAATCACCATGAGTCTTGCCTAAAGATATTGAATCAATGTGCTGCTTTAGCTAAAAATAGAAAGGAAAGGTCATCAGGAAGATCAACAAAATGTACATTAGATTATCTTTGGCTATAACAAGGCTCACCCTTGCCTGAAAAGTAAGTCTAATCCTATGATAACCAGTGCTAAAGAATCAGGAGATGCAATTTCTCGATCCCACCAACATAAAATAGTTAGTATGCCTCTTTGTCCTCTTTGTTTCATAAGGGATTCTAAGAAGCATTTAAGGGAATGTAGAGTATGTGCTTGCTGGTAAAGAGTTAGTCATTTTATAATATGCTTAAAAATCACTTTATTTTTAGAATGTTCCCTTTTATCATTGACATCTTAATGTACTGTAATTTAAAATTTTTGCATGTTGAATGAGCAGAGCACAAGCACTTCACAACAGTGAGAATAATTGCTACTTAAATATGCCATAAATCAATATATAATGCAAGGATACACAATAATGGTGCAGAACATTTACCATACTTTAATAGTAATAAAAAGTAGTTTTAAAAGAGGGGAGGATGCTAAATGGAATGCTCATTTTATTCTCACAGAAAAGGGCCAGAACAAAAAGAAAAAAGGAGTATCCATTTTAGATATATTCTCTAGTTCTTTATTTGCTAACTAGTTCTTAACTATTTGTTAATGTGATACTCTAAACAGTAAAATCCATGATTTTAGTATGTGTGTATAAACCTGAAACTTACTTTTAGATAATCTCAGGGAAGATATAATTTCATACTTATAAGTACGAACCAAAATTTAAAGGAAAACTAAAGTCTATTGTATCTAAATTTAAAAACCTTTGCATGTCTTTAAAAACAATTTTGTGCACAGCTGAACTCTCAGGTATAATGGGAGCATGATGCTAAAATACTGCAAGTAAAACTTTTGTTTGTTTATTTTTTGTTTTTTTGAGATGGAGTCTCACTCTGTCACCCAGTCTGGAGTGCAGTGGTGCGATTTCGGCTCACTGCAACCTCTGTCTCCCAGGTTCAAGCAATTCTCCTGCCTCAGCCTCCTGAGTATCTGGGACTATAGGTGTGCGTCACCATGCCTGGCTAATTTTTGTATTTTTAGTAGAGATGGGGTTTCACCATGCTGTCCAGGATGGTCTCGAACTCCTGACCTCAGGTGATCCGGCTGCCTTGGCCTCCCAAAGTCCTGGGATTACAGTCATGAGCCATTACTCCTGGCCGTAACTTTTCTTAGAACTTAATTAGAGCAAGAAACTTCCAAAACTTTGAAGGACGATGTGTACAGCGTGTTAGAGGAGGTTATTTTCCTCAATTGATAAGTCCAAAGTTTACTAGCTTGTAGATAAAGTTTAGAAATTGTTTAAAATAAGTCCATGTTTTCTCAGAATAGACTTTCTTCTCCTGTCATCCTTCTGGATCCTGGCATACTATACTGTGACAAGATCAACAGACAGAGGCTGTCTTCACATAAATAATGTAAAGGGGGTTAATCAATATAATGGAAAGTCTTGATTATTTTGCAGATAATCTCTGAGGGCACTCCACATTGAGTTTTCTCTGGCACCTTTGGTCCTGCTCAAAGATGTCGCTCAGGCCCCAGCCTCTTTTCATTTTTCTGCTCTCATGAATGGCATGTTTCCCTTCATGCTAATAAAATAGCTGCCTCAGCTCCAGACATCACATCCTCAAACAACAAAGTCAAAAAGCAAGCAAGAAAGAAGGTCTGAGAGCTTCTCCTCATGTATCTCCCTTTTTATCAGGAGGAAAATATTTTCCAGAAGCTCCCCAGCTGACTTCCGTTTTCTCTTTTGTCTCAGTGACTACAACTATTTTTACCCACCTCCCCAACCCAATCACAACAAAAGAAATGAATATATCCATTGAATTAGAACATGCACAATTTGTCCCATGAGGCTAAAAGAGGGGTCAGCTTTCGCTGAGTACATTGTTACCAAACTTTGAATGAACTTGGATTCTGTTAGCAAGGAATAAGGGTAAGATGATGTTTGGTCTGAAACCAATAATGCCTACCACACCACACAGACCAGTATATACATCTGAATGTCAATTTATTCATTTACACTGAGAAATATTGCCAAACAAGTTGGGCACTTGAGTTCTTTGGCCAACATACTCTTTTCTCATTAAAAATTTTCAAGGGAAGTGCTATGATTTGAATGTGCTCCTCCAAAAAGCCTGTGTTGGAAACTTAATCTCCAATGCAACAGTATTGGTAGGTGGGGCCTAATGGGAAGAGTTTAGGTCATGAGGACTCCACCCTTATGAATGGATTAATGTCAATTATGAAAGGGCTTAGAGGCTGCAAGTTCAAGCTCTTGCTTTCTCTTGCTATCTCTCTCTCTCTCTCCCTCCCTCTCTCCCTCTGTTTCTCTCTGCCTTGCTCTTTCCCTCTCTCACCCTCTCGCCTTCCATCGTGGGGCGATGCAAAGGCCTTTGCCAGATCCTGGCACCTTAATACTGGACTTCCCAGCTTCCAGAACTGTAAGAAATAAATTTCTTTCCTTCACAAGTTACCCTGTCTATGGTCTTCTGTTTTAGCAACACAAAACAGACTAAGACAGGAAGTTAAATTATAATAAGAAAGCTGCGAGTTGTGTGAGGAATCAGACCTAGAGAAGTAGTTATTCCTCTGTGCTCCTTGTCTCCTCTGCCTTCAGTGCTTTTCCCTTTTTTAACTCCCACATGTCCTTGAAAATTCAGCTTACGCATCGTCCCCCTCTAGAAAGCTTTCTTTATTACTCCCTCCATCCACACCTGCACCTCCCAGACTTAGCTGAGTTACTTGCCTCTCTTCTATATTACCATGGCATACTGTGCATAACTATCATTACACCTACTCTATCATATTGGAGTTATCATTTATAAGTCCTCTTCACTAAATTTGAGTTCTTTAGAAGCAGAAACTGAGCAACCTTGTATTTGTAGTCTTAGTGGTGAGCACAGGACTCAATATATAGATCTCAAAGGACAGATATTTGTGGTAGAAAGAATAATGAGCCCCTCCTAAAGATGTCTACATCTTAATCCTTGAAACCTGTTGTGATGGTTAGTTATACGTGTCAAATTGGAGGGTGTTTTTGGATGAGATTAACATTTAAATCATTGAACATGCAGTAAGGCAGGCTCCTCTCCATAATGTGAGTGGGCCTCATCCAATCAGTTGAAGGCTTGAATAAAACAAAAAGACTGGCTTCTCTAACCAAGAGGGAATTTTTCAGCAGACTGCTTTGGATGTCATTGGTACCACTGGCTTTCCTGATTCTCTGCCTGCTGGCCTTTGGACTGAAACTACACCACTGGCTCTCCTGGATCTAGAGCCTGCTTGCTCACACACTGCAGATTTTGGACTTGCCAGCCTCCATAATCATGTCAGGAAGTTCCTTATAGTTTCTCTTTCTTCTCTCTTCTCCCCCTCTAACACCCCCATACCCCCATATATATCCTATTGGTTCTGTTTCTCTGAAGAACCATGAGCATCTATAAGTATATTATCTCACATAGCAAAAGGGAGTTTGCAGGCATGATTAAGTTAAGGATCTTGAGATAGGGAGATCATCTGGGATTATCCAGTAGGCTCAATGTAATCACAAAGATAAGATGGAAGCAGAAGTGTCAGAGTCAGAGAAGAAGATTGATGGCAGAAGCAGAGGTCCAAATATGTGATTGCTGGCTGGGGATTACAAATCAAGTATAGTATTTAGAAGCTGGAAAAGCAAGGAACCAGATAGAACTTCCAGAAGGAATGCAGCCCTGTTGACATCTTAATTTTTTCCCAGCAAGACTCACTTTGGATTTCTGACTTCCAGAACTATAAGAAATTTATGCTGTTTTAAAGTAGTAAGTTTTTTGGTGATTTTTTAAAGCAATAATAGAAAACTAATAAAGTATTCAAGAAATATTTATTGACTGACAAAACGACTTAAGTGTTTAATCTATTGAGGTATTTTAATAATAGCTATCTTTTTGTATTGCTTGCTATGTACTAGACATTTTAGACATTCAGTCTGGATCCTCAAAACTAAACCTTTCATCAAGTTATGATTATACTCATTTGCAGAGGAGCAAACTAAAATACAGATAGGTAGGATAATATTATGAAAGTGCCATGCCAATAAATGTTATAGCAGGTATGGTAAACCAAGGAAAATTCTTTTTTTCCTTTTTAAAAATTATCCAAAAAGATCTTGGAGAGACACATTCTTCTAAATCCCAGTGCTCCCAGTATATCCTAAGACCTAAGAGCTGCAGCTCTGTAATACAATAGAGGGTTAGCCAATGGTAGCACCAAAAGATGGCCTGATAGCACTTTGGCCTCTTCCAAATCTCCTTCAACACCCCTAAAGTAACCCAAATAACAGCGAGATTGAAATAAAAACAGTGTGCCTATTTGCAAATGCAGTTTCAAGACAGGCTTCTAGCTCCTCCTGGTGCGGAGATTGTCTCCCCATAAGTCCCTCCCACAGGAAATTCCGGAGCTGCCCAACAGGACAGTCTTTGTCAGGCTCCCACTGTCCATGGACTGAGACAAACTAAATATTAGGGATAAGGCTCACCTTTATTATCATGTTTTTGTATGTTTATTAATTCTTATCTTTTGAAAATATTAACGTAATCAATTAGACCATAGCCATGGCTTCCTCAGGCAATGAGACAGTCTTTTAAAGCTTATTTTGCATATGTATAAGTGCACCCATTTCTTATACAGTTCATACATTTATACCTATCTGACAATCATATTTCTAAGTTTATGAGCTTCACTTCATGACTACCCTAATGTATTGCCTATACACAAATTACATAAATATCTGAATATTTACTTAGAAAATCTTTTTAATGAGCAAAGGCTTATAAAGTAATTGCATTATAAAATACCAATTGAAATAATTCAGAAACTGTAAAAACTCTGCTCAAAATGTAAGTACACGCAACCATGGGTTTATTTTGAGTAATCATGTCTTGGTGTAGAAGGTCCACTGAGAAATATTTAACACAGTAATAATGATCACTCTTTTATACCTATGGATAAAATAGAAAGGTCTGTTTCCCTTATTTGCTTTTTATAAAAGAAGAGTCATAATTTTTTTTAATTTCAGAGACTATTTAAATTGCTGTATAGATGACATTTGAAAGAATTGACTGAATGCAATTATTTGTCTAATTGAAGGGTGCTTTTTTAGAACATAACAATTAGAAAAGTTTATGGTTAGAACATTTCTAATATGGATAATTTAGTTTGTCTGTATAAAACCAATGTGGGTGGTCTTATCACTGCTACCACTGAGTTCACATGCAGAGCATCCTTTTAAAACTTGGGAACTATACATTTGCCAACCACACAGAGTTTGCTCAGTGTACACATGTGAAGTATGGGTATTTTTACCAGTCTTGTTGTTAAATATATTAATTAACTCACTTAAAATGTTAAAAAGTGGAACCATAAGGAAATTTGTAATAAACAGTAGTTCCCTTCTTGCTATTTGCTGATTTCTAACCACAAGCATAATTTACAGCACTAAATTTTTTTGGAAGAAATTAATACAGTAACAATTTCTTTTAAATGCTTGTTTGTAATAACTATTAACTTCAGGTGGGGTGCAGTGGCTCACACCTGTAATCTCAGCACTTTGGGAGGCTGAGGTGGGCGGATCACCTGAGATCAGGAGTTCAAGACCAGCCTGGCCAACATGGTGAAACCCCGTCTCTATTAAAAATACAAAATTCGTCAGGCGTGGTGGTGCACCCCTGTAATCTTAGCTATTGAGGACGCTGAGGCAGGAGAATCGCTTGAACCTGGGAGGCAGAGGTTGCAGTGAGCCGAGATCATGCCACTTCACTCTAGCCTGGGTGACAACAGCAAAACTCCATCTAAAAAAAAAAAAAAGTTACCTCCAAAAACTATAGTATGTAAAGCTTCAAAAATAATAAACAAAAGGCAAAATCCTTTTTATGAACTTCTTCTTTTCTCTGCCAAACCAGCCTTCAATCTTGACTCCTTCTCCCTGGCTATGTACCCCCTTTTATCAAATAATTCACTGGAAGTCAGGATGCAGTCCTAGCTACCTGGGAGGCTGAGGCAGGAGGATCACCTGTACCCAGGAGTTCAAGGCCAGTTTGGGCAACAGAGTGAAATTCTGTCTCTAAAAAAATAATATAACAAAATGAAAGTATTCACTGGGTTCTATAAATTCTCAATCTTAGTATTTCCATGGTTGTATCACTCTATTGTAACTCTCTTAATTCCGGACACCATCATCTCTTGACTTGGTTTATGACAATAGTCTTCTAAATGGTTTACAGTTTATTTGCCTCTGACCTCCACTACCAACCTCCCACGTTGGTGGAATCTCACACTCTAAAATTCCAACAGAGCGACTATGCTTTGTAAAATGAAAATCAAATCATGTCACTCTGCTACTCTGCTGCTTAAATCCTTCAACAGCTTCTTATTGCTCTCAGAATCAATTTCAAACTTCAAATGTTAAGACATGAAGCCCTAGGTGATTTAGACCCTGTTTAGGTCCCCAAATGTATGATCACTTAACAATGCAAACCCAAAGGGCAAGGACTATGACTTAAAAAAAAATACTAATGTTCTCATTGCCAGTTCAGTGTCTGGAAGGTACTAGGTGCTCAATAAATATTTATTAAGAATTTTCTGGCCTAGTTCTATAGTGTGAAAAATATACTCTCAATCTATTGAAACTTATATGAAATTGACAGGCTTCCCAAATTCTCCATCAGCTCTCTGAGATTTACCTTCACTAGTATTCACTTTCTGGCACTGTGGCACTATGCTTTCTTGATTTATGAAACTCTATGACGTTAGACCACAGCCAAGGGCTACATCCCAGAGTACTGTCTGGGGGAGCCCCTCAGCAGGTGAAAACCAACTCTCTTTAAGTTGCACGAGTAGAGTGCATATAAAACTTTGCATATTTTATTTTAACTACTAAAATTCAATTTACATTCTGAGATTTTAAAATGGTATTTTAAATGTACATGTGAACCCCCAGAAAGTTATTTTAACATTTAGTGTCTGTGTAAATAAACAAATAAATACTATTAAGTCAGAGAGGTTCTTAAATTTTAAGGCAAGCTATCCTAGTGATTTTGGTCTTAGCTCTAAACCACTCATTACAGTTAAACATTCAGATGTTCCCAGAATCTCTCATAACTAACCATTCTCCTTTTCCTGCCTCTTTGAGTAGTTCCATAAAAATACATATTATGAATTTGATAGCACTCAATTTCATCATGAAAAGAATCTCATTACTTAACATTGGGATTCACTGGATGAGAGGTGGCATTTAATATAATTTAAATGATGAGATAAGCAAGTTAAGCCATTAACGAGATTGGAGAGATTATATACTTAGCATCTTTGGCTATTACTTTTTAAATAATTCATATGCTCACCCATACTTTCATCCATCTATTCATTCAATTATTTCCTGAGAATCTACTATGTGCCAGCTTCTGTTCAAGGCAGTGGGGATACAGCATCTCTTATATGGCAGGTGAGCTCTGTCCCCTCATGGAGTTTATATTTGCTGAGCAGAGACAAACATGAAACAAGGAGGCAAAGTTAAGAATAATATAGCTTCAGAAATTGCTAGCTACTCTAAAATATCTAAAATGTGGCAATGGGATAAAGTGACAGGGGAGAGATGTCAACTTTAGTTAGGGTGATTCAATAAAGGATTTCAATGATGCATTTTTAACAATGAGGAGGAGCCACAGGAAGATCTAGAGGAACAGTGACCTAGACAGGGTAGACAAACACAAGAGCCTTGATATGGAAATAAAGATGCATATTCTAGAAAAATAAAGAGCAGTGTGGAATATCATAATATAATGACTCTGTGCCTGGACAAGAGATAATGATGGCTTGAACTAGGGTTTTAACGTTGAAGATGTTAAGTGGTTGAGTTGGATATATATTTTGGAGGTCCAACCAATAAGACTTGTTATGGCATGTGGGGGTATGAGGAAAGAGCCGCTCCTAGGTTTTTGATTTAAATAGCTGGGTGGATGGTGGTACTGTTTACTGAGATGGAGAATATCGAGGGAGTTCTCTTTAGAATTTGTTATTTGTTCCATTTGTAATCTGATAAATATATAATACATCCAAGAAAAGATATCGAGCAGAAAGTAGAATATTTGAGTATGGAACTCAAAATAGGCCAGAAGTGTCACTTTCATCAAACACTTTTCTGCTACAGGCTATTTTCTTCTATTTCTATAATAGCTACAGGCTATTATCTTCTATATATTAACTCAAAATTCATGAGAACTGCAGCCACCCGCATCAATATGATATAACTATAAGGCCTAAGAACCGAGACCACCTCTGTCAACATAACTTAGTTATTTGTTCCAGGAAAATTTGTCCAGAGAAGATAAGACCATAAACCAATAAATAACTTCACTGTTTGCTTCAGGAAATCCCTGCAAATCAGATCATCTGAGAGAAGCCTGCTTACCTGGATAAAGTTCCCTTATCAAACCATGGTTTATATATCAAGAGTCACTTCAAAAGTTTCATCTCACTATGCCTACCAACCCTAAACTATTATTTCATAAACTTGCCCAATCCTGATCTGTTCCCCAGTTTGGTGTTTATTATTATTATTGTTACTTTATTTTTATGTTTTTAGAGACGAGGTCTCACTCTGTCACCCAGGCTGGAATGCAGTGATGCAATCACAACTCACTGCAGCCTCAAACTCCTGGGCTCAAGCAATCCTCCCATCTCAGCCTCCTAAGTAGCTGGGTTTATAGGCACAGGCCAGTGCACCCAGCTAATTAATAATTTTTGTGGGGAGAATTAGATACAGGGTCTCATTTTTTTGCCCAGGCTGGTCTTGAACTCCTGGCTTCAAGAGCTCCTCCCACCTGGGCCTTCCAAAGTGGTGGGATTATAGGCATGTGTATTCCCCATTTTGAAATATCTCCCATAAGACCCTTAAGCCCAGATCCCCTAAACTAAATCCTATACAATTCTCTGATTCCTCTTCCTTGATTCTGTCAAGATGCTCTACTCCCTGACTGCAGTGACTTCTGATAAACTGAGTTTTGCCTTGTTAAGTTTGCCTGGTTGTATTTTGGAGAGTTAAATATTCTTTACTACTTTTTCTTCTGCTTTTATAATAGATGTTCATCCTGCAAATAACTATTCTCTGGCAAAGAGCCTCTCTGAAACTCACAATTAGTGGAATGAGATTTCTGAAGCTGGGCGGACCCTTAAACATCTGTTCTAATCAGTTTATTTCACAGATGGGAAAACTGAAGCCAGAGCAATTGTGACTGGTGTGACTGGTCTAGTGTCACAGCTAGTTAGCAGCTACTTAGATTATAAACAATTACAACTCCCAGTCTGGCACTCTTTAGGGAAGAATACACAAGCTCACGTTGAGCAAGATGAAATAAATCATTCTATTTTATTTTCTATGAACTTCCTGGCAGGAGAGCAGCAACCTGGCTGTTTTAACTTTTGGTTTTACTTATGGTTGTGATGCTTCTGTACTACTTGCCAGGCTGGCTTAGGCATTAATTGGGTGTATTCATAAAGACATTAGTAAATTATAATTTACATTTACCAAAAATTCAGATAATGAAAGTTCATTAATCAGCAGAAAGACACAGAAATGTCAACTGCCAAAGCACGCGTTCCTGATGTAGGTGAAGCTTTCTCCTAATCTAAACATAGAGTGATGAAACAAAAACAACCCCCTATCCCACTAACTCACCAAGTCACGTATTCCTTCTCAGAGGGCAAGACTTGCCATGTAAATAAAATATGCAAGAAGTAACAGTCTCTTTGAATATTCAAAATATGGAGTCTCTTTGAGAAAGCAGAAATACACAGGGCTGATATGTGTAAATCTTCCCATTTTAACTCGTATCTGGTAAACATTGTGGAAAAATCTCAAACATTTTCTGCAAGAACAATTCTAACAATACATTCTCTGATCCTTGTCCCTTTATTTCAGGAATTGTTTCTTCTGACTTCCATGTTATGACAGTGGGAGCTGCCCCATAAATACTCCATGACTCAATGCCCTAGCCATAGTTGACTGGACCAGAGGTGGGCACCTGGCCCATGGGCCAGTGGACTAGGGACCATGAGATTTAAGTCAACTTCTCAGTGCCTGGATTATAAATGTATAAAATCGGAACTTACTGTTAGCTGCATTTTGTCATTTGGAGCAAAAAGCAGAGTAGGCTACATTTTTGCTTGAATGTTCCGCAGTGCCCTTGAGCCAGAGCATTAGGGTGGGGGAAGCTCTTCAAGCCGATCCCTCCTTATGTACCCAAATTACCAAATTAATACCAGACATGTAGAAAGAATGAAAAATAAAAGAGAATAAAAAAGGAAAAGAGAAGGAAGCACTACCAAATTCTTGCCCTATCTCCCATCCCCTGAAACCAAGGCAATAAAGTACCATTTGTACATTCTTTGTTAGGTTGGATGGGCTGGCAAAAGATACAATCTTAGCCTCCTTTTCTTTGATCTTCACCATATCTTCTGAACAGGACACAGAGTTTTTTTTTATTTTAGAGCATTATCAGAAGAGAAAGAAGATAGCACGTCAGCAGTAAGTATTCATCCCATTTTTGCCCAAACCAGTGATCAAGACTGCATCCTCATACATTGTCCTCACCTTATTCTTGTCACAAAAGCAGGGGTCTGAATCTCATCATCTGACACCCCCCTGGCCCCACCAACACCAGGCAAAGATGTATTTATTTCCAAGATCCACTCATTAGAAACTACTTTATTTTGCTTTGGGAAAAGTGTTTGGTAATACTAAAAGCCAAAACATTCCTGTGGTTAAGACCAGTACAAGACTTCATTTTAATAAAAAAAAAAATTAGACTTGTAGCTGATAAACAAATTTGATCCTTATCCTTCTTCCTTCCTCTCCCCAAAACTACAGTAAAACTATAAGTAATTCTTCATATGCTGAATTAGTAGACCTCCTTATAATAACTATCAAACTGTTGCTATATTAATAATATTCTGTATAATTTTAGTTTAATATAGTAAGTGGTTTGATTAAAAAATATAAACAAAGTGCTATAAGAGTATACAGGAGGGACTTTCAGACTGGATTAAGCCTGGATTTAGGTTTTCTGGAAGACAGGGGCTGAGTCTGCAAGAATGAGGAAGAACTGGCCAGGAAGAAATTATAAGTACATTATAACATTATAAGTAAAGTGTATAACATGCTTGATCAAGGCAGTGAACACCATGGAGGGGGCCTTACAGAAAAAGTACAAAATGGGGAATTGTGAGAGTTAAAGGTAAAGAGGGAGAGAATGGGATCAGCTCATGAAAACCTCATATACTATCCTAAAGATTGAGATGATTATCCTGCAAGGATCATTGAGAGATTCATACAGTGCCTTAGATTGGGTTCCCTGGAAACAGACTCTGAGACAGGAAGTGGTGTGCAGCAAGCTTACTGGGGAGTGTTCTTGTGAGATACATCTGTAAGGAAGGCAGGACTGGGCAGAAGGAGGAGCTGACTTGTAATGCAGTTGTCTCTGAAGCCTCAGCTCATTCTAAAAGGAGATGTGAGATGACCCTTAGAGTTGTCCCAGATTGAGGCAATGGGGCAGGACCTTTGTATTAGTATCTTTGCATGAGCCAGTCATTTACTATTGGCCATTACCTGAGAGGGACTGGAGCTTAAGCAAAGTTGTTCTCTGAAGTGGTTATTTGATGCTAAGGGCAGTTCCCAGGGTGGAATGCTAAGATTCTCAGCAGTTGGGATAGGGGAATAAGCTTGATGAGGGAGTCTTGAACAGAGACCCCAGTACCCAGTACATACAACAATAGGTAACAGTTACTGAGCACTTTCTATGTGTCAGGCACTGTTCTAAGCACTTCAAATGCACTGTGATATTTAGTCCTTACTTCAAGGCTATGAGAAAGATTCTTTTATTATCTTCATTTTACTTATTCTTATTTTATATTTATACTTTAAAAGGCAGGGAAAGGTTAAGTGATGGAACCAGGGCTCAGACCCAGGCCGTCAGACTCCATAACCTGGGATCATGAACATGACATTGTGCTGCCTTTCAATGAGGAGGAATATGGTCAACTCTGCAGCTTAGATAGCCTTCTCTGTGGGGAAAGGCAATAAACAAAAGTAAAATGCATAGAATGTTAGGCAATGACAAGTGCTATGGAGAAATGAGCAGCAGAGAATCGGATAGTGAGGGCCAGAGTGTAGGGCTTGGGGGCAGTTGTGATTTTATACAAGGTAGTGAGGGCAGGTTTCACTGAGAAAGTGATATTTGAACAAAAGCCTGAAAGAAGGGAAGAAAGCAAGCCCTGCAGATACCCAGGCAAATGACCTTTCATGTAGAGAGATCAGGAGTACAAAAACCTCCAGGTGAGAGCATGCTCAGTGTATTAAAGGAAGAGCAAGGAGGCCCTTGGAAATCTGAAAGGCACATCAAACTCAACATGACCAAAATTGAGTCCCTGATCTGGAATGGTAAAGAAGTAGAAGTAGGAGATAAGGTCCAGATCCCTGCCAGAAAATAGAGGCAGATTCTGTAGCGTCTTAAAGCCATTCTGGGGACTCCGGCTTTAACTGTGCAAGAGGTGGGTAGTCATTGGAGGGTTTTGAGCAAAAGAGGGACACAACCTGACTTGTGTTCTATAAAAATTGTTCTGGCTGCTATGTTAAGAATACATAGTTCAAGTTAAGGGTAAAAAGTAAAGAAATCACGTAAGATGCCACAATCCAAGCAAGAGACAATGGCAGCTTGAAACAGAGTGGTGGTAGTGGCAGTGGTGAGAATAGTGGAGTCTGGACACATTTTGAAGTAGTGCCAACAGAATTTGCTGAGGGATGGGACATAATGAGTAAGAGAAGGGGGTGGGGTGGGGAGGAAGGATGACTAGAGCTTTTGACCTGAGCAAACAGAAAGATGAAGGAAGCTGCCTTTTGCTAAGATGGGTAAATCTGCGGAAGGAATGAAGTTTAGGAGGTGGTGGGAGAAGATCAGGAGCTCAATTTTAGACATCTTGAGTTTGAGGTGGTTTTAGATGTCCAAGGAGATATTAAGTAGTAATCAGTCACGCAAATCTGGAGTTCCAAGAGTGGTCTGAGCTGGAATATGCATTTAGGAGTCTTCAGTATAGGGCCCAGATTTAAAGCCTTGAGATGAGATAAAATCCTCTAAGAGTGTGTACAGATAGGGAAGAGATTTGAGACCTTGGGAGGATGAGGCAGTCAGATCACCTGAGGTCAAGAGTTCGAGACCAGCCTGGCCAATGTGGTAAAACCCCGTCTCTACTAAAGGTACAAAAATTAGCCAGGCATGGTGGTGCACGCCTGTAATCCCAGCCACTCAGGAGGCTGAGGCAGAAGAATCATTCAAACGCGGGAGACGGAGGTTGCAGTGAGCCAAGATCACACCATTGCACTCCAGCCTGGGTGACAGAGCAAGACTCCGTCCAAAAAGAAAAAAAAAAAAAACCTAAAGGAAGTATTTTGTCTGTTTGTTTTTAATAAAGGACAATGTTGGAAGATTTTATGGGAAAAGACCGTATTATTTTTAGAAAATATAAAGCTTCAAGTTGTTCAGCTGCATAACTGGGAAGTTCTCCCTATCAGGATGAGGCACTTTTATAACTTTAGAAAGAGAGAGACGGCTGTGATTACACAGACATCTGCACTGTTTAATTTCAGCTTCCTCCCCCAGGATTTAGAAAAAAAGCAAAAAGAAAGAATTCACGTAAAACACTGAAACAGGAACAGGTCAGAAACATCTGTGGCTGGAATAATTTTGGTTGCACAAATGAGGCCATGAGAGATAGTCTTTGTCTCTCCTGCTGGTATATTACTCAGATTTTATAGTACCAAATGCAGCAAATGACAGAAAGATAAAACAGAGAAGTATTTGCTATTTTTGACCCTTTCCAGAATGGTTTCAGTACACTATTGAGGTTTGTTTGCAGGGAATGAGCTGCACAGATAGATTTCAGTGGGTAACTAAAAATTGAAATAGAAAGTGAGAAAGTGGAACTAGAAAATATAGACTTCATCTTCCAAAAGCTTATCTAAGTGTCAGAATAATTTTTTATTTTGTGTGTATTTATTTATTTATTTTTTGAGACAAAGTCTTGCTCTGTCACCCAGGCTGGATTCCAGTGGCACGATTTTGGCTCACTGCAACATCCGCCTCCCGGGTTCAAATGATTCTCCTGCCTCAGCCTCCCGAGTAGCTGGAATTACAGGCACCCACCACCACACCCGGCTAACTTTTGTATTCTTTAGTAGAGACGGGGTTTCACCATGTTGGCCAGGCTGGTCTCGAACTCCTGACCTCAGGTGATCTGCCTGCCTCGGCCTCCCAAAGTGCTGGGATTAGAGGCATGAGCCACTGCACACTGCCAAGAACAATTTTTTAAAAAGGAAAATCATAACTCTCATAGAAATAAAGAGAAGACATGTTAAAGATTATTATTGTATATTATTTAGTGAGGGAATTGCAAAGATGGTGCAACGGATTTGAAATCAGAGAACCATAAATTTATATATTGTAAAGGAATGTTGAAAGGAATTTAATAAACAACTGCAAAACTGGCTTTTTCCATGGGAATGGTTAGGGTGGGGAAGAGAATGGTTGTCTGCCCACTAGACAGAGTTATTCACATGTTTATAGACAATAATTATGCAAATAGCAAGGTTATAGATAGGCAAGGAAGTCAAGCCAAGAAACTCCATTGGAGGTCACCTGCGGTACTTACAAATTTGAGTTAATTCCGGCCAGGCGTGGTGACTCATGCCTGTAATCCCATCACTTTGGGAGGCTGAGGCAAGCGGATCACTTGAGGTCAGGAGTTCGAGACCAGCCTGGCCAACATGGTGAAACCCCGTCTCTGCTAAAAAAAAAATATATAAAAATTAGCCAGGCATAGTGGCAGGCACTGTATTCCCAGTTACTCAGGAGGCTGAGCCAGGAGAATCCCTTGAACCCAGGAATCGGAGATTGCAGTGAGCTGAGATCGCACCACTGCCCTCCATCCTGGGCGACAGAGCAAGACTCCATATCAAAAATAAATAAATAAATAAGTGAGTTAATTCCTCTGAGACCGGAGGGTAGGAAGGAAGGAAAGAAGGTACAGAAATAGAAAAGTAGGGTTAGGAAAGAGTTGAAGTAGTTGATATATGATGGCCCTAGTCTTGATAATGAAATTGTGTT